>NC_000003.12:60919090-61222121 GCF_000001405.40 Homo sapiens
GGGCTCAGTGGAAAAGAGAAGAAAGTTAAGCTCTTGTCAAGATGATGCAGGGGGCCTCATGTCAGGCTAAGGATTCTGGAAAATATTCTGTAGGACTGTGGTTTCCCAATTTGCAACAAGGTCAAATTCCTTGAAAACACACGCGTTATATTTGAGTGTGGCATGCTTCTTATTTTCAAGACAGCAAGAAATATGGCAATCTTCAATTCCATTATACCATTTCATTATACAAACTTAAACACAAAGTGGAAAGAAGTAAATACAACTTTATACTATATGTGAATTACAAAAGCACAATCACAACCACAGTTTTTTTTTTTTTTTAAAGCTGTCTATATCTATTATGATATGGGCAAGAAACAGATGACTCACAAAATACTCAAATAGGGTAATCTGCAGAAATGCTTAGAAAGTGTATTCATGGTGTGGAGAAACCAAGGATTAATGCAATACCCAGGGACAAGGCGGGAGCCTACTTATAGAGTTCACAGAGAACTGCCCAAGCAAAGAGCAAAGCAGAGAGTGGGTAGGAAAGGATAAATTGAAGATAACCAATATACAAACAAGGCTATTTTCACATATTTCAAATACTTACCAGGTCTTCGAATACTTTACCTGTCTAATCACGAGCTGTATATTTTTTATAGGGAATAAGAGTGCATAGGCCAGGCGCAGTGGCTCATGCTTGTAATCCCAGCACTTTGGGAGGCCGAGATAGGTAGATCACAAGGTCAGGAGATCGAGACCATCCTGGCCAACATGGTGAAACCCCATCTCTACTAAAAATACAAAACTTAGCTAGGTGTGGTGGCATGTGCCTGTAGTCCCAGCTACTCAGGAGGCTGAGGGAGGAGAGTCGCTTGAACCAGGGAGACAGAGGTTGCAGTGAGCCGAGATTGCACCACTGCACTCCAGCCTGGGCGACAGAGCGAGACTCCGTCTCAAAAAAAAAAAAAAAGAGTGCATATAGCATGGACTTAAACCTCAGCTTGCCATTCACTTCTATGTGAGTTTCTTAAGCTCAATGAATTTAATTTTTTCAATAAAATGGGAGATAATAACAGTATCCACTATAAGGCTGGTGTGAGAAGCAAATGAATAAATGTATGTAAAGCACTTAGCACAGCATTTGCCTATAATAAATATGCATGCTTTGGGAAAATGGGGGAGGGTCATGTGAGCTGCCAAAATAGTGAAGAGAAATTTATGAGAGAAAAGCTTAAGATTGCAGAAATTATCAATTTAAATTGCATTAGCTTAGTATTTCATATGAGTTGTCCAAAACATCCCATATTATTCAACTATTCCATTTCATTGATAAAATACTTCAAAGGCATACAAAGAAGGAAAATAGTCTAGATCGGTAGAGGCAGGTGGGGTTATAGTGGTGGTGATCAGTGGTAGTGGCAGGGAATAGACAGTAAAGGCCTCCTTCAGAAGGTAATATTTAAAATAAGACCAACTGAAACATAAAAGGAGTTAACTAAGTGAGGTGAAAAGTGCCCCAAGCAGAGGAAACCCAACATGCCAAGGACCTGGGGAAGAGGAAACCTCCTGGATTCAACATATTCCACGATCAACATGTGGAAGAGTAAACAAGGCGTGGGGAGAACTGCAGCTGGAGCGGTAGAACCTTTTCAGTCATGTTTAAAGAATTTAAATTACATTTATCCCAAGGGTAATGAGAAGCCTTTGAAAGACTTTCAAGCAGGAAAAAGGCATGATCCCATGATCGGATTATCATCATTAGAAAACCACTACTAAAGAGAACAGGGAGGCATTAGAGAGTTTTGAGTTAAGGACTGAACAAGAAAAATAATGTTTCAAATTTCATTTTTATTATTTTATTGTTTACAAAAATTGTAAACTGCCGCAGACGATTTCTCTGAGGGCTAACTGTATAAGTATAGGTTCATTTGGTAACTCACTCATTCCGTAAGATATTTATTAAGCACCTAATGCATACACCGGAACTGTGCATAGATAGGGGACGGAGGAGAAAACTCACAAATAAGCAGTCTAAAAAGTGCTAAGACTTGAAAGGCAAACGACACTTCTGAGTGGTGGGTAAAATTCCAAAGGTGGACCAGGCAGTGTCTTTGCTAAAACATTTTTCGGTATGGCTGAACCATAAAATGCATGGGCCGTATTGAACCACTCCTTTCACAAGAATTTACTGAGCACTGACTATATGCTGGTATTGTATAGCTTTGGTGACATGGTGGTGTATGAGAAATCACTTAAAATATAATAGCAATAACTTTTTTATTGTAAATAAGGCTGGGTTGATTATCAAGAGTGCATGAGAAAGAAAAACAGAGAAGTGAAGAACAGTGCCTTCACTTAAGGAGGGTTCGAATGGCAATAAAATACTTTTAATTAAAACTTCTCTGCTGAGAATAGACAGCCTTTGAAAGCTTGTGTAAACATAAATGAACTACATGTAAATATATTCATGATATTATAGCTTTTTAAATAACATTATAACTTTTAAAATGTCAAATCCTTTGAATATGAAATGCCATCCCCTCTCCCCAAAAACATGACCACCATGAATTATCCAGTTGATCTTAAATCAAAAGCCACTTACTTAAAAGTGAAATGTTCATTCCTTACACTTACTAGAAAAACTGCTTCAAATATGATCAGACCTTCCCTTTGTCTTCAGAGAATTCCGCTGCTGAAACAGACCCAACAAGCCAGCCAAGGTCCATCTGGGGCAGCTTAGGGAAGGGGCAAGACATGTTCCCTGCCCAACACTATCTTTTCCAACTTAGCCCCTGATCATGCCAAGACATCACAGTGTAATAATAGTAATTTAATAATGTAGTCGGCCAGGCTCTGCCCACAGTAGAAAGCATGAGAAAATAAATGAGGCTTGAAAGCTAAACAGAGAGAAACTTCTCCAGGCACTGCCTGCAGCAGGGAGATACCTGGTAATGAAATACCCACTGATCTCCATTCATTACACAGGAGGCAAACCTTAAAAGAGAGTCTAGAAAGGTGGATCTCTCAAAATAGAAATAAATAAATAAGCTCACCTGCCATGGTGGGGTCTCTGAAAATGACTTGGAAGGACTGCCTATAGAATTTTTGTGGGGATGCAGCAAAGTTTTGTCAGATGTCAAGGGAGGTAATTATTCCCGACTTGCTTGGGCACATTTGCTGGATAAATTGGCCTCTTTACCTTCATCTCCCCATGCGGGCACCAGATAAAGAAACCGTGTTTAAACTCTACAGTGTTCTCTCTGGCTTTTACCATGAAAAAGAAATAAAAATGCATCCTGGGTGCTTGGCAAATCAGCCCAGTGTCAGATGGGGACCCATTATCTTTGACCTTCACATTTGTGCCCCTTGGGACTCACAGAAAATCCTCAAAAACTCTTTTGGGTAAAGATATATGATGTCTAGGAGGTACCCACCTTCAGGAGAAAGAAATTGCCTTTGCAATATAAAAGTTGCAAAAGTTGAAGTTAGTGATTTCTTTATTTTTTATTTCCATTTTTGTCTATCTGCTCAAATTTTTAAAATTTACCTACAAATGCTGGAAGCCTTGTTTACTCAACCATGTTATCAACATGTTAAGCTATCAGCCATTTCTCTCCCTTCCCTGCTTTCCTCTCCAATCACCAAGACAACACTAACATTTCTCCATCTTACCTTCTTTAAAGAAAAATTCTTACAGTTAACTGTCTGCCATCTACTACCACTTCCAGAACCAGTAATGAAATGTCAGAGGAGGAACAGTTAATTAAAATTGTGGAATCCTACTTTGCATCCTCTCACAGTCAATACATGTACAATTAGAGATGCCTTTCAGCATGTGGTATAACTAGTATAAGTTAAACTTTGAATAACACTTGATCATTAAAAATAAAAAATCATTAATGTTAAGCAAATACGCAGTAAACATCTTGCTTCATTGGCCATAAAACTCCTTTAGCTCAGCTCAACTAGTGTGGTAGATTTAATATTGGGATTCACTTAGATGGTGCTTTTTAGTAAGAAACCAAGGAACATGTCTACAATCTGCAAGTGGTTTATGGGAATAAAAACTGTGCCTAATTATCCCACATGGGTTTACCTAAGTTGTCATTTTTTTACAAAATTTCTCAAGTTTCTCCACAAACGTTTAGGGAAGAAATGACATAGAATGGTGGTTAAGGGTTCAGACTCTGGAGTCAAATGTTGTGTGTGTTTCATCCCTGCCTCTGCTACTTGCTAAACATGACACTGCCATAACCATTTTTCTTCATTTCTCAGAGCCTCCATTTCCCTGTAGGTAATATGAAGAAAACACTATTCATTCACAGGGCTACTGTGAGGATGAAATGAGATAATGTACACAAAGCATTTTAAATAGTGACCAGAACCTTGTAAAGATTAAGTAAATGCAAGCTGGTCCTCCTAATTGATACCTTATTCATTCAATAATTATACTTCCTAAAAGAGTCTGGTAATTATGTATTTAAAACATATTCACGAGGTGGAGCCAAGATGGCCGAATAGGAACAGCTCCAGTCTACAGCTCCCAGAGTAAGCAATGCAGAAGACGGGTGATTTCTGCATTTCCAACTGAGGTACCAGGTTCATCTCACTGAGGAGTGTCGGACAGTGGGTGCAGGATAGTGGGTGCAGCACACTGAGCATGAGCCAAAGCAGGGCAAGGCATCATCTCACCCGAGAAGCACAAGGGGTCAGAGAATTCCCTTTCCTAGTCAAAGAAAGGGGTGACAGACGGCACCTGGAAAATCGGGTCACTCCCACCCTAATACTGTGCTTTTCCAATGGTCTTAGCAAACGGCACATCAGGAGATTATATCCTGCACCTGGCTAGGAGGGTCCTACGCCCATGGAGCCTCCCTCATTGCTAGGAAAGCAGCCTGAGATCAAAGTGTAAGGCGGCAGCGAGGCTTGGGGAGGGGCCCCTGCCATTGCCGAGGCTTGAGTAGGTAAACAAAGCGGCCTGGAAGCTCGAACTCGGTGGAGCCCACCACAGCTCAAGGAGGCCTGCCTGCCTCTGTAGACTCCACCTCTGGGGGCAGGGCATAGACAAACAAAAGGCAGCAAAAACCTCTGCAGACTTAAATGTCCCTGTCTGACAGCTTTGAAGAGAGTAGTGATTCTCCCAGCATGCAGCTTGAGATCTAAGAACGGACAAAATGCCTCCTCAAGTGGGTCCCTGACCCCCGAGTAGCCTAACTGGCAGGCACCCCCCAGTAGGGGCAGACTGACACCTCACACGGCCGGGTACTCTTCTGAGACAAAACTTCCAGAGGAACAATCAGTCAGGAACATTTGCTGTTCACCAATATCCGCTGTTCTGCAGCCTCTGCTGGTGAAACACAGGCAAACAGGGTCTAGAGTGGGCCTGCAGCAAACTCTAACAGACCTGCAGCTGAGAGTCCTGACTGTTAGAAGGAAAACTAACAAACAGAAAGGACATCCACACCAAAACCCCATCTGTACGTCACCATCATCAAAGACCAAAGGTAGATAAAACCACAAAGATGGGGAAAAAACAGAGCAGAAAAACTGGAAACTCTAAAAATCAGAGCGCCTCTCCTCCTCGAAAGGAACGCAGCTCCTCACAAGCAACGGAACAAAGCTGGACGGAGAATGACTTTGACGAGTTGAGAGAAGAAGGCTTCAGACGATCAAACTACTCCGACCTAAAGGAGGAAGTTTGAACCCATGGCAAAGAAGTAAAAAACCTTGAAAAAAAAATTAGACGAATGGCTAACTAGAATAACCAATGCAGAGAAGTCCTTAAAGGACCTGATGGAGCTGAAAACCACGGCACCAGAACTACGTGACGAATACACAAGTCTCAGTAGCCGATTCGATCAACTGGAAGAAAGGGTATCAGTGATGGAAGATCAAATGAATGAAATGAAGCAAGAAGGGAAGTTTAGAGAAAAAAGAATAAAAAGAAATGAACAAAGCCTACAAGAAATATGGGACTATGTGAAAAGACCAAATCTACATCTGACTGATGTACCTGAAAGTGACAGGGAGAATGGAACCAACTTGCAAAACACTCTGCAAGATATTATCCAGGAGAACTTCCCCAATCTAGCAAGGACGGCCAACATTCAAATTCAGGAAATACAGAGAACACCACAAAGATACTCCTCGAGAAGAGCAACTCCAAGACACATAATTGTCAGATTCAACAAAGTTGAAATGAAGGAAAAAATGTTAATGGCAGCCAGAGAGAAAGGTCGGGTTACCCACAAAGGGAAGCCCATTCAGACTAACAGCAGATCTCTCAGCAGAAACCCTAGAAGCCAGAAGAGAGTGGAGGCCAATATTCAACATTCTTAAAGAAAAGAATTTTCAACCCAGAATTTCATATCTAGCCAAACTAAGCTTCATAAGTGAAGGAGAAATAAAATACTTAACAGACAAGCAAATGCTGAGAGATTTTGTCACCACCAGGCCTGCCTTACAAGAGCTCCTGAAGGAAGCACTAAACATGGAAAGGAACAACTGGTACCAGCCACTGCAGAAATATACCAAATTGTAAAGCCCATCGAGGCTAGGAAGAAACTGCATCAACTAATGAGCAAAATAACCAGCTAACATCATAATGACAGGATCAAATTCACACATAACAATATTAACCTTAAATGTAAATGGGCTAAATGCTCCAGTTAAAAGACACAGACTGGCAAATTGGATAAAGAGTCAAGACCCATCAGTGTGCTGTATTCAGACCCATCTCACATGCAGAGACACACATAGGCTCAAAATAAATGGATGGAAGAAGATCTACCAAGCAAATGGAAAACAAAAAAAGCAGGGGTTGCAATCCTAGTCTCTGATAAACAGACTTTAAACCAACAAAGATCAAAAGAGACAAAGAAGGCCATTACATAATGGTAAAGGGATCAATTCAACAAGAAAAGCTAACTACCCTAAATATATATGCACCCAATACAGGAGCACCCAGATTCATAAAGCAAGTCCTTAGAGACCTACAAAGAGACTTAGACTCCCACACAATAATAATGGGAGACTTTAACAATCCACTGTCAACATTAGACAGATCAACGAGACAGAAAGTTAACAAGGATATCCAGGAATTGAACTCAGCTCTGCACCAAGTGGACCTAACAGACATCTACAGAACTCTCCACCCCAAATCAACAGAATATACATTCTTTTCAGCACCACACCACACCTATTCCAAAATTGACTACATAGTTGGAAGTAAAGCACTCCTCAGCAAATGTAAAATAACAGAAATTATAACAAACTATCTCTCAGATCACAGTGCAATCAAACTAGAACTCAGGATTAAGAAACTCACTCGAAACCACACAACTACATGGAAACTGAACAACCTGCTCCTGAATGACTACTGGGTACGTCGCGAAATGAAGACAGAAATAAAGACGTTCTTTGAAACCAATGAGAACAAAGACACAACATACCAGAATCTGTGGGACACATTCAAAGCAGTGTGTAGAGGGAAATTTATAGCACTAAATGCCCACAAGAGAAATCAGGAAAGATCTAAAATTGACACTCTAACATCACAATTAAAAGAACTAGAGAAGCAAGAGCAAACATTCAAAAGCTAGCAGAAGGCAAGCAATAACTAACATCAGAGCAGAACTGAAGGAGATAGAGACACAAAAAACCCTTCAAAAAATCAATGAATCCAGGAGCTGGTTTTTTGAAAAGATCAACAAAATTGATAGACTGCTAGCAAGACTAATAAAGAAGAAGAGAGAGAAGAATCAAATAGACGCAATAAAAAATGATAAAGGGGATATCACCACTGATCCCACAGAAATACAAACTACCATCACAGAATACTAAAAACACCTCTATGCAAATAAACTACAAAATCTAGCTCCCTCTCCCTCTCCCTTTCATCTCCGTCTCCCGCTTTCCACGGTGCCCCCCTCCCTCGTCTCCGTCTCCCACTTTCCACGGTCTCCCTCTGTTGCCGAGGCTGGACTGTACTGCCACGATCTCGGCTCACTGCAACCTCCCTGCCTGATTCTCCTGCCTCAGCCTGCCGAGTGCCTGGGATTGCAGGCGTGCGCTGCTAAGCCTGACTGGTTTTTGTATTTTTTGGTGGAGACGGGGTTTCGCCGTGTTGGCCGGGCTGGTCTCCAGCTCCTGACCTCCAGTGATCTGCCCGCCTCGGCCTCCCGAGGTGCCGGGATTGCAGACAGAGTCTCGCTCACTCAGTGCTCAATGTTGCCCAGGCTGGAGTGCAGTGGCGTGAACCTCCACCTCCCAGCCGCCTGCCTTGGCCTCCCAAAGTGCTGAGATTGCAGCCTCTGCCCCGCCGCCACCCTGTCTAGGAAGTGAGGAGCATCTCTGCCCAGCCGCCAATCATCTGGGATGTGAGGAGCCCCTCTGCCTGGCCACCCAGTCTGGGAAGTGAGGAGCACCTCTTCCTGGCCTTCACCCCGTGTAGGAAGTGAGGAGCGTCTCTGCCTGGCCGCCCATCATCTGGGATGTGGGGAGCGCCTCTGCCCGGCCGCCCCGTCTGGGATGTGAGGAGCGCCTCTGCCCGGCCGCCCTGTCTGGGAGGTGAGGAGTGTCTCTGCCTGGCCGCCACCCCGTCTGGGAGGTGGGGAGCACCCCCGCCCGGCAGCCGCCCCGTCTGTGAGGTGGGCGTGCCCCCACCCGGCAGCCGCCCCGCCTGGGAGGTGAGGAGCCCCTCTGCCCGGCCGCCAATCCATCTGGGAGGTGTACCCACCAGCTCATTGAGAACAGGCCATGACGATGATGGCGGTTTTGCTGAATAGAAAAGGGGGAAATGTGGGGAAAAGAAAGAGAGATCAGATTGTTACTGTGTCTGTGTAGAAAGAAGTAGACATAGGAGACTCCATTTCGTTTTGTACTAAGAAAAATTCTTCTGCCTTGGGATGCTGTTAATCTATAACATTACTCCCAACCCAGTGCTCTCTGAAACATGTGCTGTGTCAACTCAGGGTTAAATGGATTAAGGGAAGTGCAAGATGTGCTTTATTAAACAGATGCTTGAAGGCAGTATGCTCGTTAAGAGTCATCACCACTCCCTAATCTCAAGTACCCAGGGACACAAACACTGCAGAAGGCCACAGGGTCCTCTGCCTAGGAAAACCAGAGACCTTTGTTCACATGTTTATCTGCTGACCTTCTCTCCACTATTGTCCTATGACCCTGCGAAATCCCCCTCTCTGAGAAACACCCAAGAATGATCAACAAATACTAAAAAAATTAAAAAAAAAAAAAAGAAAAGTTCAAATAAAGTGTATGAAAGAACTTTAAAAAAAAAAAAGAAAAAAAAAGTGCGAAAATTAGCCAGGCATGGTGGAGTATGCCTTGGGGTCCCAGCTACTCAGGAGGCTGAGGCTAGAAGATCACTTGAGCCTGGGAGGCAGAGGCTGCAGCAAGCCATGATTGTGCTACTGCACTCCAGCCTAGGTGACAGATGGAGACTCTGTCTCTAAATAAATAAATAAATAAATAAATAAATCCTATTTTTAAATGCTAAAAAAAAAAAAGAAAATCTAGAAGAAATGGATAAATTCCTCGACACATACACCCTCCCAAGACTAAACCAGGAAGAAGTTGAATCTCTGAATAGACCAATAACAGGCTCTGAAATTGAGGCAACAATTAATAGCTTACCAACCAAAAAAATCCAGGACCAGATGGATTCACAGCCGAATTCTACCAGAAGTGCAAGGAGGAGCTGGTACCATTCCTTCTGAAACTATTCCAATCAATAGAAAAAGAGGGAATCCTCCCTAACTCATTTTATGAGGCCAGCATCATCCTGATACCAAAGCCTGGCAGAGACACAACAAAAAAAGACAATTTTAGACCAATATCCCTGATGAACATCGATGCAGAAATCCTCAATAAAATACTGGCAAACCGAATCCAGCAGCACATCAAAAAGCTTATCCACCATGATCAAGTTGGCTTCATTCCTGGGATGCAAGGCTGGTTCAACATACGCAAATCAATAAACGTAATCCAACATATAAACAGAACCAACGACAAAACCACATGATTATCTCAATAGATGCAGAAAAGACCTTTGACAAAATTCAACCCTTCATGCTAAAAACTCTCAATAAATGAGGTATTGATGGGACATATCTCAAAATAATAAGAGCTATCTATGACAAACCCACAGCCAATATCATACTGAATGGGCAAAAACTGGAAGCACTCCCTTTGAAAACTGGCACAAGACAGGGATGCCCTCTCTCACCACTCCTATTCAACATAGTGTTGGAAGTTATGGCCAGGGCAATTAGGCAGGAGAAGGAAGTAAAGGGCATTCAATTAGGAAAAGAGGAAATCCAATTGTCCCTGTTCGCAGATGACATGATTGTGTATCTAGAAAACCCCATCATCTCAGCCCAAAATCTCCTTAAGCTGATAGGCAACTTCAGCAAAGTCTCAGGATACAAAATCAATGTGCAAAAATCACAAGCATTCTTATATACCAATAAAAGACAAACAGAGCGCCAAATCATGAGTGAACTCCCATTCACAATTGCTTCAAAGAGAATAAAATACCTAGGAATCCAACTTACAAGGGATGTGAAGGACCTCTTCAAGGAGAACTACAAACCACTACTTAATGAAATAAAAGACGATACAAACAAATGGAAGAACATTCCATGCTCATGGGTAGGAAGAATCAATATTGTGAAAATGGCCATACTGCCCAAGGCAATTTATAGATTCAACGCCATCCCCATCAAGCTACCAATGACTTCCTTCACAGAATTGGAAAAAACTACCTTAAAGTTCACATGGAACCAAAAAAGAGCCTGCATTGCCAAGTCAATCCTAAGCCAAAAGAACAAAGCTGGAGGCATCATGCTACCTGACTTCAAACTATACTACACAAGGCTACAGTAATCAAAACAGCATGGTACTGGTACCAAAACAGAGATATTGACCAATGGAACAGAACAGAGCCCTCAGAAATAATGCCGCATATCTACAACTATCTGATCTTTGACAAACCTGAGAAAAACAAGCAGTGGGGAAAGGATTCCCTATTTAATAAATGGTGCTGGGGAAACCTGGCTAGCCATATGTAGAAAGCTGAAACTGGATCCCTTCCTTATACCTTATACAAAAATTAATTCAAGATGGATTAAAGACTTAAATGTTAGACCTAAAACCATAAAAACCCTAGAAGAAAACCTAGGCAATACCATTTAGGACATAGGCATGGGCAAGGACTTCATGTCTAAAACACCAAAAGCAATGGTAACAAAAGACAAAATTGACAAATGGGATCTAATTAAAATAAAGAGCTTTTGCACAGCAAAAGAAACTACCATCAGAGTGAACAGGCAACCTACAGAATGGGAGAAAATTTTTGCAATCTACTCATCTGACAAAGGACTAATATCCAGAATCTACAAAGAATCAAACAGATTTACAAGAAAAAACAAACAACCCCATCAAAAAGTGGGTGAAGGATATGAACAGACACTTCTCAAAGGAAGACATTTATGAAGCCAAAAGACACATGAAAAAATGCTGATCATCACTGGCCATCAGAGACATGCAAATCAAAACCACAATGAGATACCATCTCACACCAGTTAGAATGGCGATCATTAAAAAGTCAGGAAACAACAGGTGCTGGAGAGGATGTGGAGAAATAGGAACACTTTTACACTGTTGGTGGGACTGTAAACTAGTTCAACCATTGTGGAAGTCAGTGTGGTGATTCCTCAAGGATCTAGAACTAGAAATACCATTTGACCCAGCCATCCCATTACTGGGTATATACCCAAAGATTATGAATCATGCTGCTATAAAGACACATGCACACGTGTGTTTATTGCGGCACTATTTACAATAGCAAAGACTTGGAACCGACCCAAATGTCCAACAATGATAGACTGGATTAAGAAAATGTGGCACATATACACCATGGAATACTATGCAGCCATAAAAATTGATGAGTTCATGTCCTTTGTAGGGACATGGATGAAGCTGGAAACCATCATTCTCAGCAAACTATCGCAAGGAGAAAAAACCAAACACTGCATGTTGTCACTCATAGCTGGGAATTGAACAATGAGAACACATGGACACAGGAAGGGGAACATCAAACACCGGGGCCTGTTGTGGGGTGGGGGGAGTGGGGAGGGATAGCGTTAGGAGATATACCTAATGCTAAATGATGAGTTAATGGGTGCAGCACACCAACATGGCACATGTATACATATGTAACAAACCTGCACGTTGTGCACATGTACCCTAAAACTTACAGTATAATTTAAAAAAATAATAAAAATAAAACATATTCACATATTTACGTATTCATGTATTTAAAATATATTCATTTATTTTACACTATGTGCAACTCATTTTTCTACTTAAGAATTAGAGAGATGACATTTCGGAGGCCCCTAATTCCAAATGCTGCCGCCTGTTTTTAGTACAGATCTGTGTTAAGCAAAGGAAAATGAAGCGGTCAAATCGCCTCAGAAGCTTCCGGCTTCCACCCCTGTTTGTAAACGAAACTCCATATTAGTCAAACTACACTCCCCAGGGAGCACCTGTAAAAGTCCCTGATTTACAGAAGTATTTACTTTAGGGTATGGAGTTTGTTTTTTCAGGTTTATCTCTGGGAGAGCTTGGTGAAGCTGACAGTCCAGCAATTTTATTAAACTGTTCAATTTCAGCATTTTTTAAAGAGCATATATAAAGAACACCGGCAGTAGCTATTTAAATTTCCCAGTGGATGCTAGAAATAATAAAAGGACACTTAAATGACCATTTTTGAGCAGAGCCAACAGCATGTGTCCTAATTATCCAACTATGTGAAAAATTCTGTGGATTTTTACCAGAGCACAAGGGTGTGATATGCACAATTCAGAACACTAACGGCTACCTCACTAGGGTGTAGAGAACTTTTCAAGTCTAAATATAAGGTCCCAGTCTGCCAGGGTAAGTTTTTCTGCTACTTTCCCTCTTGATGAACTTGTTAGACATGATAAATGGACAACATGGTAAGAAGTTGATATGGTCCACTGATAAGCCTCTGATGAAGAACAAGTAAATAAAAAACCATTGTGCTAAGTGCTCTCCTTCATTTATTCTCACGATCACATTCTGAGGTAGGTATTACTATGCACATTTTACAGGTCAGGAAAGCAAAGCTCACACAGGATAAGTGCCTTATCCTACAGTTTAAGTATCCAAGCTGGTGTTCTGATTTTCCTCCACTCACCTCTTCCTATCTCTTCTCCACCCACCTCTTCCTATCTCTTCTCCACCCTTCTCTGCCCTGCTGGTGGTCTCTTCCTTACTGATCTCTACAGACTCATCTCCCGTGCCCTTTGGTTTCTATAGGGCTAAGACAATGGCAGGCAGCATTAAGGGATCAGAGAATTGGAGGAAAGAGTCTGGGGGTATCTATTCCCCATTTCCTCTCTCCTCCCCTCACACTGCACAACTGAGACTTTTGACAAGTGCCCACATTTTTCTAGCTTTGACTATAATTTCTGTCAGTGGCCCTTTTTCCCTAATTCCTAGCTAGGGCTCTCATTGGATTCTTGTAATTCTGTTCTCTGTCTTTGCTCCTTCAGACTTTCCATAGTTGCTTCACCATCTTTTTTGGTTCCCTTAAATCTACCCACACCTCTGTCAATCTTCTGTTCATTAAACTCTCTTCCAACCTCTCAGTTTTGGTGTCATCCACTTTCTGCTGGAGAAAGGAGGGTAGCCCCTAGCAGTTGGTACCTCCTCCTCTCTAGCTTCCCTTTCATCTACCCACAACCAACCACTCACCCTTCCCTTGTAGCCAGTCACACCACAAGCAAGTCTGTGACTCAGCAAACTGGCTCCCAGAAACAAACCCTAGGAGCATAATTGAAGATGAACCCAAAGATACAGTTATAAGTATGCTCGTGGAGAATTTGTAATTTTTTAAAAAATGGTAGTTATCTAAGAGGACTTGATTAATCAATGAAGGGACATTCATAAAATGAAAAATTATAAATGATTAAAAATAATACCATAACTTATATTTCATGACATGAACATATTCTCAATATATTAACTTCAAAAGGGAAGATACAAAGTTGTGTGTAGAATAACTCAGTTTTTCTTTGTAAAAATTTTGTATACATGGGGAGAAAATGGTCCAAAAGAGACCATCCAATAGAAATACAGTACAAGGCACATAAGTAATTTTAGTGTCAGTAGTTACGTTTTAAAAAGTTAAAAGAAACCAGTGAAATTCATTTAGTGATATATTTTAGTCCAACATATGCAAAATAATATTTAATCATGTAAGCAACAGAAATTAATAATGTGATATATTGAATTCTTCTTTTGCATATGAAGTCTTAGAACTCCGGTGTGTAGTTGACACTCAGAGCACATGTCAACTCAGTCTTGCTACATTTTAAAAGCTCAAGAGCCACATGAGGATAGTGACTACCAGATTGGACAGCTCAGGTAAGCCTCAAAAGCGGGTGTGTAGAGTAGGAAGTTGAATGTTCTTCACTTTCTTATTATTTTTCTCCTTTTTTACCATTACCATTTACTACTGATGCATGTCACCTCTGCAATTAGAAAAACAAATTATTTTTAAACACTAAGAGCAAGGCTTTTTTCTTCTGTCTCTGGAACACTTTTTGGCTCATGTCCTTTGCAATTCACAGACTACACACTTACTAGTATAGAAAGGTGCCCTCCTTTCTTCCCCTCCCTTTACATTTTCTTTGGATAGCTACCTATCTTCAGCCCTCAGGCATAAGAGTAAGAATCAAATGTTGATTTTCTTCAGAGTGGCTGCTGAGCCAGCTCCCACTCTCCAGTGGTGTGACCCGGAATCTATCAGGCCTCACACCACTGTTTTAGCAGCTCTGAATGGCTTGTGGAAGGGCATGGAATGGGGCCAGAAACTGCTTAATTTGAGGTTAATTAAATAGTGATGACAAGCCTTAATCTCCAACTTGTCATCAGATTGTAAACACTGATTGCAGCTGCAGCAATCTGCAATAAACCTATTGAGAGGAATCTTGACCAGAATGAAATAAGTACGTTGGTTACCCAGATGAGGCTGGGAGAGGTGAGATCAGAGAAATCTAGGCTTTTGCAGTACCAGGAGAAATGGAGACCTGAAAAGAGGGAAATTCATGGGCGAATGTGTCAATTCTGATTCCTGTACAGCCCTATCAAAAAAAAGAAAAAAAGAAAAGAAAAAATAACTGGATCCCATGCACCTGGAAATTGGAAAGAACAAGGGCAGAAATATAAAACCACTAAACTAAGGACCTGGAAAAAGCTGAAATAGCTTTACATCTATTAGCCATTGATGAGGTTTCCATGAAAAAATATGTCTGAGCCACTGCATGCCCTGAGGCCGCTGGACAGATGGTTATACCACCAGAGTGAGCTACAGCAGTGGCTTTCTAGAGTGCAGGCAAGGATGACAGTTACAGTGTGTTAGGTCTCTACTGTGTCTCAAGCACATCACATGTAACGTATATGATAATTCTCAAAAGTACTTTATGAGGTAGCTATTATTTTCTCCATTTTAAAGAGGAGAATGCTAAATCTCAAAGGAGTATCCTACCTTGCTTAAGTACATGTAACAAATGGGTTGAACCCAGACTGTCTAATGCCCTAATGCAAATTCTAAATCACAAGAATCTCTGCCTCCAGCTTTGAGGCAATGTTGAAGTGGGAAAGGGGAAAGAATAGTCAAGTTCCTGAAGAAGATGGGAAAAAATGAGTCAAAAATCTCCAAAGAATAGGGAAGCACAAAGGGCTGAGGTAACAAATGCCAGATGAGTAAACATGTTCATAACACTGCACCCCGGAAAGTGCCCCTCCTGGCTCCATTTTCATGGAGAATGCTTTCTCATTCTTCAAGATCCAGCACAAGGCCAATTTTCACCTCTTCTGTGAAGCCTTCCCCAAACCTCCTAGTGAGAGAGGCACTTTAAAAAAATATGTGAGATGCATTGAGAGACAGATGGACACCATAAAAGCTGAACTCAATATTACATGTGAAGAAAATTTACAAAAAAATCTTAATCTGAGTGTCAGAAAAATTGGAGTAGTGAAAGAACCATTACAGTTATTGTCAAATAGTTAATTAACTATTATGTAGGTTTAAATCCATGTATTCTTCCTTAAAACCTTTTGGAACAAGATAAATCATTCTCATCCATTCATTTATTCATTCCCTAGCACTGTGATAACACTAGAGAAATAACAATGACCAAAAACAGACACAATTCCACTCTCGAGGTACACATGTTTAAAAGGGAAAACAGAGTAATGATACAAAAATCACACAAATAAATGGACAATTATGACATGTGTTCCAAATAAGAGGTAAATGAGATGTTATTATTTTATCCAGGATACAGGACTGGAATCATTAAAGAGAATACACAGGGAAATAAGCTGCAGTTCATTATTTGGAAAAAGTTTCAAACAATCCACACAGAAATGGCCCCACACATGAGCCTGCTCTCTTCTGGGCATTGGATGTGTCCCGGCTGAGGCAGGGAAGACAAGGGTGCATCCGTCGATAACTTCTCAAGTCTCTTCTGACTCTAAGAAACTGTGACCCTATCATTCCAAACAAAATATTTTCTCAGATAAGAATTAGAATTGGCTAGGTTGAATTTCCAGGAGACTTAGGAAATATGTACAGAGAATAATCACTTCCTAAATAGAGAGGGGAGTCAAGCAAAACTGAGTCTTCTAAACTGCTCGGTAGCATTCTCCTTCTCTTCGCACATGGACACACTTCTGCTTTATGCACTGCCCTGACAGCTTCCTGAGGACAGAGGCTGATGGTCTTGCTCATCACTGAATCATCAATGCGTGGCACATATTAAATATTTGTTAAGTGAGTAAATGAATATGGTACTAAAATGTGCATACTGACAGAAACTTTTTTCTGTTGTGGCCCTTGTAGGTGAACTTCCTTGAATAATTAATGAACATGAAAGTCAGTCAATCACTCACCTCCTGATTAATAGTCAGGGTCCCTTGTCCAAACAGCCACTTAGTCCATTAAAAATTAATAATTTTCTACAGAATAAATATATGCTGTACATGGTACATCAAGGGTTCCACTTTTAATACGCAATTAAGTAATGCAGAAAGACTAGGAATCTATTAACTAAGAAAGAGCTCCATGAACTTGCCCTCCAAGTCATCATTCATTTACTATCCATTTCTCTTCCAATTTTAAAAAATTATTTAGCCAGAAAAAAAGTAGTTCTGAAAACAGAGTAAATAACAACATGTTGTCATATTTTGGCTAACATTTGCAGGCCGACACAATGTGTGTTTGTTAAAGATTTGAGATATGCTATTCCTTCTGTGAAATGACGAATACATTAGGGCAGATCAATACAAAACTGAAGCTCTATATGTAAAATGTTAAGGGTCTATTCATTGAAAAATTATGAGCCATGTTATAGAACTTAGGTCAGAGTTAAATTATTGATCTACATTCATTTTTCCCCTTTCCATGTGACTATCTTTTGATTTTTTATAACATACATTATTGCCTATGTAGAAAATGAATCCTCTTCTTCTAGAGCTAGTGTGTCTGGTGACTGACAATTTTCTAAAATTAACTGTTGTGTTGGTAGCATTTAGATTTGTAAATTGAACTCCCCTTGCATAAACATTTAAACATTGAAAATAAAATCTGTAAACTTTGGTAGCATGAACTCAAAGGGAAAAGAGGATAATTTTCATTTTTTAATACAAAGAAAGCAAAGAAAAAAAGGAAAGGTTATTTTTCTTAACATCATTCTACTACTTTATGGTTCTTGATACATTTCATTGATGAGGCCAAATTGTATTCAGTTGACTTTTTACAAATGACTAAACTGTATTGCTAAGCAAAGGGATGTAATCAACACTTTGTGAGCTGAAGTCTCAATTTTCAGACCTAAAGCTTACTCAAGATGTATAACCTCAAATTCTGTAAGCAGGTTAGATGTCTTGAAATACAAAGACTCTCATCCCCTATCAGCCCCCAAAGTGACAAAGGAATGTGTCTTCAATGAAGATTTTCTCTCATCTGCTGAAAAGGGAAAATGTGCAAATATTTCAAAGAAATGTAGATTCCACAGACCCACATTAATTCATGAAAAAGGAAGCTAATGTAAGAGTTCTTAGTAGGAATGATCTTTGATTTGGGGCTGTATTTGGTCAGTAACTTTTGCCTACTAGGAGAATATTTTCTCTTTAACGAAGTAGTATCAGACACAGAGGGCTCTTCATTTTCTCTAATGGAGATACAATCATTTAGATTCGTGCTCCAAATGAGGCAGAAATTACCCCTAATGTGTAGTTTGAACATTTGTATCAAAATACAGTGAAATGCTGTTTCAGAGTCTGATGAGAAAAATATGTGAGCTCACAGAATGTCTGCCTCTCTCAGGTGCAGAAGTGGTCTACTGCTTTTTTTTTCTTTTTTCTTTTCTTTTCTTTTTTTTTTTTTTGAGATGGAGTCTCACTCTGTCACCCAGGCTGGAGTGCAATGGTGAGGTCTCCGCTCACTGCAACCTCCACCTCCTAGGTTCAAGCAATTCTCCTGCCTCAGCCTCCTGAGTAGCTGGGATTACAGGTGCACGCCATCATGCCCAGCTAATTTTTGTATTTTTAGTAGAGATGGGGTTTCACCACATTGTTCAGGCTGGTCTTCAACTCCTGACCTTGTGATCCGCCTGCCTTAGCCTCCCAAAGTGCTGGGATTACAGGGGTGAGCCACCACGCCCGGCCCTCTGCTACTTTTCTTCACATTGTCACTGCAGGAATCACCTGGCTCTAGGGGGATATCCCACAGTCTCACATAAATACCAATCCCTGTCGCTGGAACAAGGGGGTCCCAGCCTCACAGAAGGCCTGAGGGACTCTGTTTCTCTACAGGTCAGCTCCAAAGCAGAGGGCCCTTTGCACCATAAATCAATGTCATCCACAGAAAACTCCAGGAGAAAGTTAAATACCAGCAGCAAACAATGTCTCTTGTGTAGCAGTCTCTCACCACTGTTTCTGCTAGGTGACAAAAGCAGTGAGAAAAGCAGAGGAAGCAAGGGCTGAAGACAGAAAAGTCAAAGAATTGCAGAACTTGAGAGTTGGAAAGGGGCAGAGTCCAAATAGGAAAAGACTTAAGCTTCCTACTGTGTTGTGCTATGTAGAATGCTGTATGAGGAAGGGCAGCAGGCTTTCTCCCCAGAAGCCCAGCTGAAAGTCATCCACACTTTACATGGTCCCCTATACCAGGCTTCAGCCCCCTTGGCCTTGGTTTTCTCAACACACAGTATGGAATCCATTTCTCATGAGATGGACTTCATTAAACACACTCATGAGACCAACATATAAAACCAGAATGTCAAAGTAGTAGTCTACGATTTGCAGTATAGCTGTTGCACAGATGTCAGAAAGACCAATACATTCATTCCCTTCCTGTAAATGTCTTCCCTGCAAAACCAAATCCTAATCAGGCAGCAATCTGACATGTAAGGAATCTGAACAAGAGGAGTTCATCTGATGAACTGAATGTTAAACAGCGTCAGGGGAGATGGAGTCACCAATGGGAAAGAATACCCAATGTCCCTTGGCTGCAGCTCTCTACATCCATTGCCGTAACAGAAATGGCCTTGCCAATAGAAAAACAATTCTCCAAGTTTCTCACAGGAGGTCCCGTCCCCTCCAAAGAGAGCTACATGTGTATTCTTTGTGTATTTTTATCATTG
The DNA here is from genome assembly GCF_000001405.40 of Homo sapiens. Classification (NCBI taxonomy): domain Eukaryota; kingdom Metazoa; phylum Chordata; class Mammalia; order Primates; family Hominidae; genus Homo; species Homo sapiens. Next base: position 60,938,836 of record NC_000003.12, read on the forward strand.
AGAAACATAATTTGAATGGGAAAGCCTTTCTTTCGTTCTAAAAACCCTGCATCATTTTTCTCATTGCAGGTTAAAATATGTTCATTGTAAATAATGAACATACGGAAAAGGGTAAAAGTTATTCTATTTCTTCCGCCCAGAAAACTATAGGTGGATAATCTTTCAGTCTGTTTCTATGTATACATCTTAGGTTGTCCATATAAAATTATCATTTTGCAGATAAAAAGCAGTCAATTAGGTGCAATTCTACATGGTCCAATCTCATATACATACGCACATTACATTAAAGTCAAATGACACCTTAACTTCTACTTTGTTGCTTTTCTTTGAATTAACTAGGGCTCATATACAGTTTTCCATGTTACTCGGTAATACCATAATTGATTCTCTTGCACGCACTTGTTTACCAAAACTTCTCATTATTTCCTTAGGGAATATTCACAGACATAGAAGTGCTTGGTTAAAGGATTTGCACACACACCCATTCATGCATATACTGTCTAAGGTTGCTCTCATCATTAACAGCAGAGTTGAGTAGTTGTGACCATACTACCAAAAAACCTGCAATATTTACCCTTTAGTCCTTTACAGAAAAAGGTTGCCAACCCTGACCTAGAATCCATAATTAACTAGATACAGAATCCAGACATCCATTCAACAATAGGACACAGACTTCCTATTTTTAAAAAATTCACCGTGACTACAAGCAGATCTGCATTTAAAATATTTTATTCCCATTAGTATTTTTAATTGGTCCAAATGCTCTATGTGATATAACTTCACTATCATTAGAATAGTATTAAAGAATACTATTAGAAAAATGTAGCTCCATTATTTTTACTACAGAAATTATTATAACCGAAGACATAAATGCGAACCAAATAAAACAAAATAAGTTGTAAAAATTCCTTTCTTCAACAATTGCATAATAATCTATAATACACATAGATATACATGTTCTTAAATATTTCATGTAAAAATTGGTTACTATTTAATAATTAATTTTAGAAACATTAAAAGAAATTTAACTTCTGGGTCTTTGATTTGAAACAGCTAAGAATTTTAGACTGGTTTCCATTTTTAATCATGATCAAGACTCAGAAACGTAGCTAAGAAAAATCATATTGTACTTTTTATTGAAAAGGAATCACACAGACCATGTCTGAATTATTATAAAGGCTTCATTAATTAGATTTTAATCTACATGACTATACCATATGCTAAAAAACCATCCAAACAAACTCTATGAAACGGTTTTACTGCTATTACTTAAAGAGCCATTTAAAAGAATTTCTACGGGATAAAGACTGGGTGATTTATCATAGTTTTATGCTCCTTTAATCTGCTCCATCTTCCCATTGTAAAATAAATATTGGTTTTAAAATAAATGGTTCTGCCCAGGTTTTGATGAGAAAAATTGCCCTGTAAATCACAAGCTCACGTGTGCCAAACTCTAAGTCCAATGTTAACTAGCCTATTCTGAAGAAAAATAAGTCAATTTTATAGAACAAAATCTAAAGAAGACAATTACTTAAGTGTATTTTCAAAGCTGCAATGTAATTAATCTGAGATATGAGCTTCTGTACCCCAAGTTTTTTAATTCTCAAAATAAGAACTAGTGGATATCAAACTGGTCCTCCAACTGGATTTTTTAAAAATGGGTTCTGTACTATAGTTTTTATTATATTCTTTCCGAATCCAATATACAAGTTATGTAACTGAAAATAAATACAATGAGGGTTATATGATAATGTCTGAGGGTTATATGATGACATCTTTATCAATCACTTTTTTCATACACAGAGAGCCAAATCAATTTAATAGTCAGGTTCTTAGAATATTTCATAGTGTTCTGAAAAATTGACCTTACAGTATACATATTTTCCTATAATAAGCATAGTGGTTAAAATGCTCTGGAAGTTATGAATGGTTTAAAGCAGTGCTTCACAAACTATTTAGGATGTAAAACTAGTTGACTATATTTTTCACTCCAATATGTTGTGGGTTGGTGATACTTTTATAAAATACAATAAAAATTGCACTTGGATTTAGTGGTAGTGTCAAACTGCTATGACAGTCTCTAAACCAGCACTGTCCAACAGAAATATCATAGGAGCCACATGTCTGATTTTAAGCTTTCTAGTAGCCACATTAAAAATGTAAAAAGAAACAGTTGAAATTAATTTTAATAATATTTTATGTAGTCCAATAGATCCACAACCTTATTTCAATATGTAATCAGTATACAAATATAATGGAGATATTTAACTTTTTAAAAAAATTAAGTCATCAAAATCCAGCATGTATATTCCACTTACAGCATGTCCCCATTCAGACTGGCCACATTTCAAGTACTCAACAGTCACATGTAGCTAGTGGCTGTTGTGTGGGAAAGTGCCATTTTAAACCATTACTCCCAAACTCTGCACCTCCCTCTTCATGAACTGGTCCACATACAACACTTTGAGTAGTACTGTCTAAACTACTGCTCCCTTAAAAATGGCACCTTCATTTCTCTTCTATAATTTTCTACTCTGTGTTTTAAATTGAGGGCTCCATTCCAGATAAGTCCAACACTTAAAGAAATTAACAAACTCATGATTGCAGCTAACTTTATACATCCTTTCAGGAAAGGAATTTGCATTTATAAGGGATGGATACGGAGGTCCCCTCTGCTCTCCCTTCTCTAGAAGCAATCACTATTCTGAATGATATTGGTTTCTTTCTTTCCTATCCATGTTTTTATACTTTTTCTACTGACTATGTTCTTAGGATTTAAATAAAGCAAAGAGAAAATTTGTTTGCACATTGCTGAGATATATGAATTTAATGCGTTTAGCTCATACAAATCCTGACCATATTCCATGGCAACCACTGAAACCGAATCACACACCTTTCTACGTTTGCACCCTCTGATCCCCTATTCGTCCTTCATACCACACTGCTTTGATATATCATTTTCTTTCTGCTCTGTATTTAGACTCTGTTCCACCTTCTAGCCTGGATAATTTCTACCCATTGAGATCAAAGCTTAAATATCACTTCTTCAAGTAACCTTTGTTGATCTGCCCTTTGCCCTGGTAAAATTAGGTTCCCTGTCAAACACTCTCACTTTTCCTATACTGCACTTACCAAAATTGTAAATAGTTTCTGTTGTTGTTGTTGTTTTTGAGATGGAGTCTTGCACTGTCGCCCAGGGTGGTACAATGGCACAATTGGCTCGCTGCAACCTCCACCTCCTGGATTCAGGCAATTCTCCTGCCTCAGCCTCCCGAGTAGCTGGATTATAGGTGCCCACAGCCATGCCTGGCTAATTTTTGTATTTTTTAGTAGAGACAAGGTTTCACCATGTTGGCCAGGCTGAAGTAGTTATTTTTTTTACTGATTTGTTTAATGTCTCTCTCATTCATAAAAATATGTTAGCACCAGCATAATTAAAAGTATACAGTAGGTATCCACAAATATTAATTGAGTGAATGAATGAATTTTCATTCTCAGAAGCCAGACTTAACCTGGTCATTATGTTTCTCAATCTCTAGTCATGACACTAGCTTACAATGTGTATATCATGGATATATATACATAGGGTATCCCTGTTAATTAGAAGGTATATTTTCAAGAGTATGGCCATAAAGAAGTTATTCATGGTATATTCTTTTGACCTTCTATTTTCAATTGTCTCTATATTTAGCTCCCATTTTTCATTTCTAATACTGTTTGTATTTCTCTCTCTCTCTCTCTCTTTGTTCTTCTCTCTTTGTAGTTGATCAAGTTTGACAAGTGAGAATGTGCTGTTTTAGTCTTTAAAATAATCATTTTTTGCTCGGTTGATCTTCTCTACTGTTTCTTTGTATTCTATTTCATTTTTGGTAATATTTTTGTATTATTCCTTCCCTCTACTGTATTTGGGTTTACTCTGCTATTTTATTTATACCTTTTTAATTGAATCCTTAATTCCCTAACAATGTCTCCTTCCGTTTCTAACGTATACATTTATGAGTCTATAAATTTCCCTCTATATACCTCTTTGTGTCCCACAAGACTTAAAGTATGTACTAATTTCTATCATCATTTTTCTTTGACTCACAAATTATTGACAGGTACAGTTTTGAGTTTCCAAATGTATAAAGTTTTGAAAAGTATCAGTTTCTAATCTCCTGCTTTTTTCCTCTGAAATAAAGAATTAGTAAATATAATTTTTATTCATCAGCATTAAGACTTTCTATGTGTGTATATTATCTGTTAGTGGAGTTTGAAGTTCTATATATGTCTATTTGTCCAAGCTAACCGGTTATGTGGTTTAAATATTCTTTATCTTTTCTAAGCTTCTTAGCTTGTTTGATTTATCAGTGTCTGAGAGAAAAATGGTTAAAACTCTCAGATTATGATTATATGGGTTTTCAATACTTCTTGGTGACTGTGTCAATTTTTACTTTCTATATTTTTAAAAGGATGCTACTAGGTAATGTAGGCTCAGGATTAACTCTTCCTGGTGAATTGTTCTTTTATCATTAAATAATAACTCTTTATCTGTAATAATATTTTTGCTTTTAAAGTATATTTTGTCCGATATTAATAGTGTCACCAGCTTTCATTTGAATGATATTTATATGATGTATTATGTCAATTTCATCTATTTTCTCTTAATCTTCCCATGCTATTATCCTTAATTGGGTTGTTCCTTGTAAACAGTTAAAGAGAGTATAGCTGTTCTCTCTATCCAACTTAAGAATCTTTGCCTGCAGACAGATAGGTTTAATCATTTGTATATTGGCTTTGATTACTGATTATTTGGCCTCATTTCAACTAATTAATCTACAGCTTCCTAAAAGTCAGTAATTATGGCCTCTCACTGAACCAAGTACTGCATACCATAGCAAGCATTGCTGTATCTATCTTACACTCATAATTTAGCTGTTCTCAATAAATAATTTAGACACATTGGCAAATAATATTCTCTTAAAGCTTCAAGCTCATAAGTACTTATATATATAACACAGAAAATCCCCAACTAAGATGGCTAATCCACTACTACTCTTATTTCTTTACCTATAACATGAAAATAAGTGAATCCACTTGTCATCTACCTCCAATGTTGCTGTACTTTCCTCTTCAACCTCCTCATTTTTAAAAATTTCTATCGGGAACAGCTCTCATTCTGTCTCTTCTACCTTTCTTCTTCCCTATCCCAGTCTCTCACCTGTTACCTTGACAATTGAATTAGTATCTTTTCTCTCCCTGCCTTCATCCTACCACCTAACAATCCAATGTTTCCTCCAGTTAAATGAGGGTCGCATAGTATAAGTTAAGAAATTTGAACTTTACCCTACAGCTCAGTGTTTCTCAAACTGAACCCAAAGGCACAGTATCATAGCTCCAAACATTCTATGAGAATATGCTTTAGGTTTTTATGGTTTTATTCCAATTAATGTCCTGAAGAATCTAAATGACAACCTGATAATTGAGCTATGCTTTCCAAAAGCAGTGCCTGAGTTTGTCTTTTTTTTTTCCTCCATCAACTCTGTTCTGTTCTCAGTATCACTGGAACCAAACAATCACTTTAAATGACAGCTTTTAACTTTCAGTGTGTCAGTGAGCACATCTGGCTGCTAGGTTGGCATGTCCTAATGCTAAAATTGTCCCATGTCTGCTATTGTGCTCTTCTTGAAGATAATTTGCAATGGAAAGATAGTGTCATGGAATAAGACTTTAATTTATTAAGTTATTTAATTAATGGAGACTTTGATATGACATCATAAAAACTCATAGTGTGGCAGAGTAATGGTCTATTTTAATTGTTATGGGCTAATGAGAAAAGAACAAAGGCAGAATTAACATGTAAATGATGCGTTTATATCAAATGAAAGCCAAATGATATTATGGGACAGTGCAAAAGGAAGTTTCCCAATTTTTCAAATAGAGAAAAGTGGTGAGAAAATTGAGTCATCATGTGGCTCTGAGTAGTAGAGGCATGCCAAATTAAGAGTCTTTGCCATAGTAGTCAGCACACTTTATTGATGAAACATTAATTTATCAAATATATGTTAAATACTTCATCAATAAACAGTGAGTGTTAAACACTGTTCTAGGCACTAAGGATACAGAAGTCATAAGATAGTCAACTCTCCAGTGTCACGGAAGTTATATTCTGACAATAAAAAGATGAACATGAATTTATAATACAACATCAGGGAGTCGTAAGTCTTGTGAAGGAAAACGAAGCAGGGCAAAGAGATGGAGGATGATGAGGGAGGAGGAAAGCTACAGTAGGCAAGATGATCAAGGGAGGATTCTCTGAGAAGATGACATTTGAGCAGACACCTAAGTGCAACAGGAGGCAAAGGCATACAAATATCTCGGGGAGAAGATTTCCAAACAAAAGCAAGAGCAAATACAAAGATGTTGAGAAGAACAGCAAGAAAACCAATGTCAACAGACTGCAGGGAGAAAGGAGAGTGGTATGAGACTAGGTAAAAAGAAGAGGGCTGAATCTTGAAGAGCCTTGAGGTCATAGCAAAAAGCCTGAATTTAATTCTAAGGATGATGGGGAGTTACTACAGGTTTTTTGTTTTGCTTTGATAGAGTCTCGCTCTGTCACCCACACTGGAGTGCAGTGGTACAATCTTGGCTCACTGCAACCTCTGCCTCCTGGGTTCGAGTGATTCTCCAGCCTCAGCCACCTGAGTAGCTGGGATTACAGGCATCCATCACCATGCCCCGCTTATTTTTTGTATATTTAGTAGAGGCAGGGTTTTGCCATGTTGGCCAAGCTGGTCTCAAACTCCTGACATCAAGTGATCCACCCGCCTCAGCCTCCCTATTACAGGGTTTATACAGTTCATGCAGAATACCAGAAAGGGAGATGGGGACTGTGGGGATGGATACAGGTAGGCTTGTAGATTTGCTAGAGAAAATAAGGTAGTTTCTTCTGATTGTTTCTCTTTCTCCAGTGAAATAAGAAGTGAGACAATCAACTGATTGAGAGAGCTGGGGATGGCCATTGGAGAGTTGAGGTACAGGTGAAGATATAAAATAGTTTTCTCAGAAAGTAGAAGTATTAGGTAAACAATGCAGGATCACCGTGTAGAACAGAGGATCCACTGCAGTCAGCATAGTTGTGTGTCCTCCATCCATCCACACTCAGGCCCAAAGTAGGTGGAAAGCTGAATGAGGGTCATAGTTTTGCCAGATAAGAATGACAGAGAAAGATGAGCAAAGGAGTTCAGTGTGCATGTAAAGAAGAGAAGAACCATAGCATCTGAGCTGAGCAAGGAGGAAAGTGAGGATACAGGAGGATGACGGATTGTACATAAATCCTGTAAGTCAACAGATTGGAGGCCCCACAGGATCAAAGAACTGTTGGAGTAGAGATGCTAATGTCACCTGAGGCAGCAGCCCTGAAAAGATAGGAAGTGGTGGTCAGAGAGTGGGATGCTGTGAAACATACTTTGAAGGTTAGCATGGCATTTCATAACAAGGGCACTATTGGCATTTGGGGAAAACAATTCTTCATCGTGCATAACAGTCTCATGTACTGAATGACATTTAGCATCCTTAACTTCTGCCCTCTAAATACCAGTAGCACTCCTTACATTTGCAATTACTCCCTAGGAGAGTGGTACTTCCTAGATTGTGAACCATTGGCCTGGGGTATGACTATGAGGTAGGGAGAGATATTTGCAAGTGAGAAACTCAGGGACCTGATAGACCAGGTATGAGTATTCTCTGTGGATGTTTTTACTGAGAATGATGAGTATAAAGACAGGGCGCTGGGGGGAACGTCTTCAATAAATACAGAGGAGTAGGCTGTAGAAGAGTTTTATGGCATGTGCTTTAAAAGCCTCTGCGGAGGAAGAGAAAAGGAACTGTCTAGAAGTGACAATGAACAATACCAGAAGACACCAACTCCACTGTCAGACACTGAGAAAAAAACAGACACCCCTGGAGAGGGTGATGGGGAAGCCTCCTTAAGAGTTTGCCAAGAGTATCAAGCAGCTATCCAAAAGAACTTTCTGTGATGATGGCAATGTTGATATCTACGCCATCCTATAAGATAGACAATAGGCACATGTACTTCTTAGCCCTTGAAACGAGGCCAGTGTGTCTGAGGATGTGAATTTTTTACTTTGATTTGAACGAATTTAAATGTAAACAGTCAGATGTGGCTACTGGCTAACAAATTGGATGGGGCAGAACAGTAAAAGGTGAAGGAAGCATTCAGAAGACAAAATTCTTCTTAATCTCTGAGTCTTGAGGAAAAGGGCAAGGGCAGGTATGAGTCTAGGGAAGTTTGTACATTTGTAGCAGGAAGAGGTGAGGAGCATCTAATAGCACAATAGCATCAGCATTTCCAATAAGCAGGATTCCAAAAATTCATTTTAATTTATTTCAGCCTCCTCTCAGACTAAATTCTATACCATATTGTTGTGGAAGACCCTTAAAAAAAACCCTCAAATATTTAAAATATCACCATCATGTAAGAATTATTTCTTCTCCTAAGAAGCATCTGGTATTAATAGACTATGACTATCGCGTGTTTTCTAAGATCTAAGTGTCCCTTCCCTCCAAAGACTGGCTATCTATATCTAACAAAGGAAAATGTAACATTTGAAAATTCCCTGTTAAAAGATTTTGTTGTCATTTGGAAATCATATTTCTTGCTGTTTGCATTTCTATTAAAAATATAAAGAAATTTGTTCTTTGGTATCCCAAATGAAGTAAAAGTATTCTAATTGGTTGCATTCACAAGTCTACAATTTGCGGCTTAACAAAATTATTTTTGAAAAGGTCATAACCTGTACCCACATGCCCACCCAACCACACACACAGACATCCAGAATGGTCTTGTGATCATGTCTTCAGAAGTTTGGCTGCAAAGTTACAAGCAACAACTGTCCATCTGCACCCACCAACCTAGTGAACAATGCCAGTCTGGGACCCAAGGACTATTTACTCAACAGAAGAATTCCAACTTCAGGCAGGGGATAGGCGAAGTCCAGATAACATCTAGATATTTCTTGACATTGCATTTGATTGGAAATAAAGGAAAAGTAAAGCATTTCTGGTTAGTTTCTGTTTCTTAGTGTCTCTAGTTCCCATTTTATTTCAATCAAAATATCAAAATACTCTTTAGCCCATAGAGGGGACAGAGTTCCTAGTTTAATAAACCCTAAAATATATAATTAAGATAAAGCCTCTGTAGGGTTACTCAGCACAACACTATAATTGCTCAGATTCCCTAGTGGATTCTCCAGTCAATTTCTCTGCATCCTTGAGGCAAAATCTTTTCCTTAATTGTCCTCACTTAGACCAGGTGCTAGGTGTCCTTCCTAGCCTGCAGGTCTTACAGGCCCATTCATCCCTAAGGGGGTCTTATATATTAACCTTGCTTCTGAACTCTAAGCACTGGCAAGTCAGGCAGAAGGCCCAAAGGACCTAACAGCCCATAGGTAACTACAATGTTGGTAAGGTGGATTCTGCCAGATGCCAGCCTTGGATCCATTTTGGGTCCCTACAGATTTATGCTTCTACTATAATGAATTTCATAATTTCTAGTATGTGACCCAGGGTTGAACTAAGAAGTTATTCTTGCTTTCCCCTTTAGTTTTCCCTAATGGGACTTTGATCAACATGAAAACTAAAAATATCCTGGTGCTAGACCATTAACACTAGTTAACTATTCCAGACTGTGGCCACTGTCAAAGACAGCCATCTTGTAATTGAATTCCACTGGGGACAAGAAGACTCAAAACAGAGTAGGTGAATGGATTGCTTAAAGTCCATCTCAGCTACTAAGGAGAATGAAGAGCAGCAGAAACTGAATTATTAATTCCCAACTCTATTCACAAGCCCCCTCTGGTGGAGGAAGTATTAGTAATGAAACAGCTATAACAATAACCAAAATTTTTTTAAAAGAGAAAAGGCAATCCACAACAAAACAATCAGCCCCTGCAGAAATGAGAGTCAAGTGTAGTGATTAGCAAATATGAGCTGCAACCTGAAAACCACTTACAGATGAAGCAGTATGATGAATGATTTACCAAAAGGTCAACACCGCTCTTTTGTCTTCATCACCCATCAGTTTTCCATCGCCCTCAATTTGTCTGGCACATAACAGAAAGCAGGGCATAAAATATTCCCCATAAAAATTAACCTTACTTTGCAACATTAAAAAAAAAAACTTATAGTTGTATATAGTTGAAGCGTAGGGGCCAGCTTCTCAATTAGTACTCCTAGCATACAGTAGAAAAAGCGTTGACACTTAAAGCCCTATTACAAGAGGTAATGTTCTTAGCAAGTTCCGGAACTCTCTGCCCTATTCTTGCCTTGCTGACCCACTATTCTCAAGCGAAGGAAGGGGTCAGTAATCCCCCTACCAAATACCACACCAATGGTGGCAGGAGGGGAGCATGTGACAGCATTTCCCCTTTTACTCTCCTGGAGGCCAAACTTCTTTGCAATCTCTGCTTTTAGCTAGCGTGGATGCCAGCCTTTCAACCTTGCTATGCCTGCAATACTTTCTGACAGATGAGCTATGAGATGTACCACCTTCCCACTCCCATTTGACAACCTTTGTACAAAAAGAAACACAACGCCAAGGGAAAGTATATTTTTAGGCATGAGGGATTCTGAAAATGAACATATCTGCAAACTTCTAGATCCCCTTAACCAGACCTGAAAAAGACATTAATCTATTTTAACTAAACTGATTAAATTGATTTAATCAGAAAGCGGGTCACTTCCCTCCTCCCTATCCTGTCGCTGAATTTACTAATTGTTTCTCCGGCTTTGCCCAATCAATAAGATATTTTGCATCTTGCAGATATAATGTAAGTTATCAGTTATTAAAAATTCCTCTTCCCGGTCTCTGGTTAAAGTGGGTACCTAAATATCTGCTTATTTATTTACGTCGTTGTTATTTGCAGATTTCTTTTTTAAAAAAAGCAGAATTAAAATGAAAGAAAAGGTCAAAAGAGTTTGGAAAAAAAGCTATCTACAGGGATGTTCATCACTGCATCATTTATAATAGTAAAACTTGGAAATCTTAAATTTCCAAGCAAAAGAAGACTGTTCAAATTAATTATGGTATAGCCATAAAGTGGAATACAGTCATGCATCACATAATGAAGTTTTGATCAATGACAGACCACATATATGATATCGATCCCATAAGATTATAATGGAGCTAAAAAATTCCTACTGCTTAGTGACGTTGTAGTTGTCATAAAGTCATTGTGCATGCATTACCTTTTCTATGTTTAGATATGCAACTACTTACCTTTGTGTTACAGTTGCCTATAGTATTCAGTAAAGTGATGCTCACAAGAGTATGAAATTGTCTAATGACACAGTTTTCATTAAGTGAGGCATGACTACACTATGCAGACATTGAAAATTAAGTGGTGGAATATTTAATAACAAAAAAAGATTTGTGGTACTATTAAGGGGGGAAACACATTGCAAAACAGTAGATACTGTAATATCATATTTATTGAGAGCTGTTATCTTTGTATACCATTGGTTTGACAAACATTCATTGGTCAGCCATCTTCCATTCATAACCTCTTCTCTCCAGCATTCCTTGCACTTGGGAATTGTTCTATAAAATAAAATATTAAAGAAGAAGGCTGCTAGGTAGGGCTTTTTTTTCTTTTTTTTTTTTTGAGACGGAGTCTTGCTTTGTCACCCAGGCTGGAGTGGAGATGGAGTCTGACTCTGTCGCCCAGGCTGGACTGCAGTGGCACGATCTTGGCTCATTGCAACCTCCGCCTCCTGGGTTCAAGTGATTCTCCTGCCTCAGTCTCCCAAGTAGCTGGGATTACAGGCACGCACCACCACACCTGGCTAATTTTTTTTTTTTTATTTTTAGTACAGATGGGGTTTCACCATGTTGGCCAGGCTGGTCTCGAACTCCTGACCTCAAGTGATCCACCCGCCTCGGCCTTCCAAAGTGCTGAGATTACAGGCGTGAGCCACCATGCCCGGCCTAGGTAGGGCTTTTCTTCTTGTCTGATTAAAAGGAGCGGATTTATCTAACAGGTCTCTTTTTGTATTTATCCTTTATCTTTCCAATCTAAACATAACGTCTGGAGGAACAGCAGCTTCATTGTGACCATGAAGACAAAAAAATAACACGCTAAGAACAGTAGAAGAGAAATGCCAAAACATCAGCTCTAGATTATCCTCTAAAGACTTGGAGAAAGTCACTATTGGTTGGATTTTCTTTATTTTGCAGCTGAACACATTCCTGATACACAGGAGATTCTGTTTTTGTTTTTTGCTTATCTGTGGCTTTTATATTTTCTACCATAGTATGTACTGTTTTATCATAAGAAAAAAATACTGGATACAAGAAAAAGGGTCTTTTGTATTCTTCAAGAGAAATCTAGAGGCTGTGAGTTGGAGTCTCAAATCATCCAAGGAACAAAAGCACAGGCAAAGAAGACATGCCAATAATAAAATTCTTAGAGCTGCTTAACATTATTAATATTTTCATTCCCTTCAACAGAAACTGTTTACAGCTATTAGTATTACTGTTTTTCGAGTCATGGAACACTTAAGATCTACTATGGTGTCAGGTGCTACTTAAGGCACCAAGTATCCAAACAATAAGGCAGCCCATGACCAAAAGGAACCGTAACAAGCAAACGAAGAGGAAAAACCTAGCAGGGTAAAACACACTGCCTAACATTGCTCAGCTGGTTAATGGTGAAGCCAGGACTGGAATGCAGGTCTCTTGACACCTAACGACCTTCATCACCCTATCATATGCTTAACCCACTTACCATTTAGAAGAAAGAAGTGCAGCTTGCTACCAGCACAACGCTCTCGGAGCAAACGGGAAATGGGTTAAGCATTAATATCTGGCTAAAAGATGTAAGAAAAACTCTGGTGAGAGTATTTAAGGAGAATGATCTAGATGGGGGTCAAAAAACATCAGAGACAGACCTTGTTCTTCATTAACTAGTATTTATAGTTATAGCAGGATTGTTTTCCCTAAATAAAGGGAAAGGTCTCTTTGAGTGGGGCAGAAAGGATTCCACTTTTTGGCTGGGTGCAGTGGCTGATGCCTGGAGTCCCAGCACTTTGGGAGGCCAAGGCGAGTGGATCACCTGAGGTCAGGAGTTCAAGACCAGCCTGGTTAACATGGTGAAACCCCATCTCTACTAAAAATACAAAAATTAGCTGGGCATGGTGGCGGGCACCTGTAATCCCAGCTACTCGGGAGGCTGAGGCAGGAGAATTGCTTAAACCTGGGAGGCAGAGGTTGGTGAGCTGAGATCATGCCATTGCACTCCAGCCTGGGAGACAAGAGCAAAACTCCGTCCTCCCCACCCCCCCCCCAAAAAAAAAAAAGAGATTCCACTTTTTATCTATCTATACCACACCGAATCAGTCGATCAATCCACTGACCACAGATTGTAATCTCGGCCAACCACTATAGTGGGGAAAGAAAACATAGCAGTGCAATCAGCTGTTGGATACCACAGGCAACTTGACAAGTCAGTGACAACTTGGCCTATTTATTCATCTTTTAACCGTTTGTTCTGGTGTCTGTGTAGTCACAATCAAAGAATAGTCCCTAGGAATCCATGGAGTTTCATTGAAATGGAGTTAGGGCTTTGGATCATATGCAGAATCTCAGTACTATTCCAGGAGAAGGGCAGCCACATTGCCTCTGAATGGCCAAAACATAGGGTAGTGAAGAGTGGGAGAATATGCCAGCCCGAAATATGCCACTTTAGCCTAAGGATTATGTGGAGCTAAAGGCACATTAAAATACAAAACAAAACCCAGCAGGTGCAAGAAGTGTTCTCTAACCCTCCCCTTTTTCTTCCTGAAAACATGAAACAAAACCCCCATATAGAAGACGTCCAGCTATACCAGAAGGAAAGTCTCATTCTTATCATCAAGGATGGGAAAATGAGACTAGGAAAAGTCTGTACAAACAGATCTTGTTAAAATAATTCTTATCTTCCTTTAGCCTTTCCACACAGTTGAGTTACTTTTCCACAACTGCCTCTCTTTGTTCAACCTAATATAAAACCATCTAGGTTTTGCCACTTCTTTGAGTCTTCATTTCCTTATGAGGTATCTCATGTCACATAAAACTTATATTAAATAAATGTGTGTGCTTTTCTCCCATTAATCTATCTTATATTCATTTAAGTCTTAGGCCCAGCTGAAAAGAAAACCCTAAAAGAGTGTACAATTTTGCCTCCTCTACAGTATCCATCTTGAAAGCTGAAAGTTCACTCTCAATATGCCTTAAGAATAAGAACAAGTGGGGGCATGTTTTTTAGCCATAGTTATTCGTAACCCAAACAAACAAGTAAAGGATAATATAAGTGCCAAAAATATAAATGTTGTCTGGATTCACACATATCTTATTTGAGTGACTGTCATTTTATACTGTCGTAATCTGTTTGCATGTCTGTCTTTCCACTAAACTATATGCTCCCTAAACGCAAGGACGATTTCCTTTCATCTTTGCTAAGAATGTCCAAGCCTTCCTCCTTCCAAGGCTCGAACTGGATTCCAACTATAAAAGTCTATAAAATATGACAGCTATTTGGACCGAAATCCTTCATTCCAAACTATCCTACTTAAAAAAAAAAGTCAACTTTTTAACATTTCCAAAATATCCTGAAGGGAGGGAAAAATCACACATTAAATTCTGTCAAGTAACATTTACCTCCTCAAGCCCTGACTAATCGGAAATGACTGGACTTGGCAGCTCCTTTTATCACGTGGTCTATCAGCTAAATTTAGCTCCTGTTGTGCCAATTGAAAAATGCCAACATCCCTTCCCATCTCATACAACATCCCAACCCGCCAATGACTCTAGGGTCTCTCTGGCAATCTGGTGTGACCACTCCTCATCAGATCAAAATATAAATTACAAACCAAACTTAAAGTGTCCAAGTAGCCCCATCCAGAAGAGCAATGATGAAGTTAGAAGAGACGAAGACGAGAAGGGTGCCAGATTCATTACTATTGATTCCCTGCTGGTCTTTCAATGTCACGGAAAGATGTCCATTATAGTTCTATGAAGAGCATTTGGCTCAGTTTAAACTCTTTTGTTTTCAGTTCCTTTAAAAACAAAAATCAACCACGAAGGATAAACAACTAGAAATTAATGGAGCCCAAAGGGTTTCTGCAGAATGAGAAGCCTTCATCACTGCACCCTAATTATGTAAATCTGCTCCTGCAGAGTCCAGTACATTTATTTATTAAGTCTCACCACTGCCATCCTGGTAACCCAGAGAAGAAGCCAATCTATAATGACTCAAGCCACATTTCAAAATAGACTCCAAAGGACACATGATGTCATTTGCTAAAATGACTCAATCCAGATGGAAAGCATTCTGACCTATACATAATTGATTGACCTTTGCTATGCTTTCCCCAGTTATTTATATACTATCATATGCATGAATGTATATCAGTGGTATTTACACTTGGCAGCTACTTTTAAGAACACATTATTCAATTGGGATTTGAAGCTTTTTACGACCATTTCCTGACCAAACATTCATAAATGACGAACAAGGAAAGATGTTATCTTAAAAATAATGTTTAATAGGCTCTGGAGAGTTTAGAGAAGCTTTGCTACTCTAGTTATTTTAAATTACAGGGGACAAGATCTATGTACATAAAGCTGAGTTCAAACCCTGAAACTGAGGATACCAAAGGACATTTTATTTACTTTCCAGTTTGGAGCTCAATAATGATAGTAAAATATGCTGTACAGAAGGCATGGAATGTTTTAGATACATGTGAGAAGAGCATCAACTGTGGTGAAGGTAGTTAGAGACAATAACAAATTATCAGAATCTAACCATGGATTTCATTTTCCAAAAGAGGTTAGCTGCAAATTGGATAATACCCAGATAATCAAGATAGTTTCAAGATGATCATAGAAGGGGAGGCAGATAGATTAGGGAAGGCAAATATGAAGCAAGCATGTCTTTACTCCCATTAGGAATACCCAAGGCAGACATCCATAACTGATTACTGAATTCTTAACCACAGAGCCCTCACTTGGCTCAAAATACTTTTCCAATAGTACTCCAGGCAAACACCATCAACCAAACAGACTTGTCCTAATAACATAAACAGAGAAAGTTGTATCTTATTTACTGATCAAATTAATTCTATTTATTGTTACCATATACTCCAAGATTCAATCTAAAACTAAACAGGTTTTTAAATTCAAAATTTAAAGTCACATCTCTGAATCCTAAGAAAACGTTAAGTCAAATCTAGTAGTTTTCCATACTTCATGGTAGGCTAGAATGACCCTTAATGTAAATGAAAAGCAAGCAGGAAAGCTAAACAGGAGAAGATGAAAATGCTTATATGTTCACATAGGAATATTATATAGCAGTGAAAAGGAAGGAACTACGGCCACATGCAACCACAGGAATAAATCTTAGAAACAGAAATCCAAGTGGAAATAGCACATGGAGAAGACTACATACAGCAGTGCTTTCCAAGTAGTGTGCCTCAGTAAGTGGGTTACAAGTGTTCCCAATCCCCTTAGTTCTGGGGTGAATAGTACCTGGAGTAGCCAAAGTCTTGTGTCAAGCCAGAGCATTTATATCAGGAGGTTCTAGAATATTTTCAAGTTCTATGTATGCCATGATGGAAGAAGTTAGGAAGCACTGACATACAATAATTCTTTCCAGAGATTAAACCATTATAAAACCATTTTATAATACTTAAAAACTAAAATGTATCTGCTTAGGCATATATATACATATATATATATATATATATATATATATATATATATACACACACACACATATATACATGTGACAAATTTATTTCAAAATGATAAAAGAAAAGCAAGGAAAACATGAATGGATACTTCATCCAGTACATCCATTCATTCAGTATAATGGTTACTGTTGGAAACAATAGGCAGGAGATGAGTTAGGTACAAAAACACTTCAGTAGATGGTAATGTTACAGTTCTTAAGGTAGATGGTGGTTCATGGGTGTTTAGTTTATTATACTCCAAGCATATTATTTTATAAATACAACATGTTATATACTACTTTTCTCAAAACATCAAGGTTAAGAAGGAAGGAAACTTTTTAGCTGATTCTGAGTCAATTTTTCACAGTTGAATCTCAATATGGCAATTCAAGAATAGATACAACTACTTTTGGAAGACTGAAACTCAGAGGTCAAGATTTTGTCCTCATGCAACTAGAATAGTCCAAAGGTTTCTAACAGTCAACTCATGTACCCTATTTAATGATTACAAGATTTTGTTCTAATCCAAATAGAGTATTAATGAAAAATTGTTGTAAACCTAAAGTTACATTTCCCTACTGAAACAAAAACATCACAAAACCCATATGTAAGCCTCTTAGTTAAGATCCATTTAGTTATAAAAAACAAAACCCAACCTGAAGTGTTCAAGTAAAAGGATTCTGGATGAGGAATTAGAGGTATCCTACAGCACATAGGATAGCAAGTACAGCCAGGCCTTATGAAGAACCAGAGCCAGGGTGTAGGCAGCCTTTCAGATCCGAGGTTGAAACATTCTCTCTCTCTTGGGCTGCAGGTTCTTGTGTCTCTACTTCTTTCTGGAACCTTTACTTTATTGTCCCTACCTTTAGCTGTGCTTTTTCTGCTTTGGCATCGACATGACCAAATATTTGTATCTCTTGTGATTTAAGTTTAAACCAAGTAGTGCCCTGAAGACAATTTCAAAATGCCCAGAGGGGAAAAAGAATCTAATTAACCCAACCAAGGTCAAAATCTGTCTACACCGGGTTTAATCAGACACAGCTGTACATAAGGAGTTACCAATTCCAACAACTACAGGGGCCAGGCAGGTAATTAAAAGTATGATGCTGACCAGGTGTAAAACCAGAAGCTGGAAGAAAAGGGTCTTACAACAAAGAGAACTCATGCTGCCTCTCCACTTTGGATATGTAATAATAGAAATCCAGATTTTCATTGAAATTTCTTGATTTTTAAAATACATCTGTATACGTTAGGCCACAGGCTTCTACTGTCAGCGTCCTACAAAAAATGAATTGTGAATATTTCAGTTTCGGGGGGTCACACTGGGCAAACCTGACTTAGATACCAGCCCTTTGGGTAGAAGAGCAGGTCTCACAGAAGGGCTCATGGTCAGGCAGTACTGCAACAAAGCCTGGATTATGCACTACTTTACACACCCTCCCCATGAAATACACACATCAGCTAAACTTCTAAAAATATCTTGTTCAAAATCAGATACTAAGCCGGGCAGAGATAATCATCATGTAGCTTTGTATGGGTTCATAGTAAAAAGCATTAAAAAACAAAGAAATCACACAAAAGCAAACTAGAGCCAGAAAAACACAGCACCATCTTCTTCTTTTCTTTCTTTCTTTTTTTTTTTTTTTTTTTTTTGAGACAGAATCTCACTTTGTTGCTCAGGCTGGAGTGCAGTGGCGCGATCTCAGCTCACTGCAACCTCCGCCTCCCGGGTTCAAGCGATTCTCCTGCCTCAGCCTCCTGAGTAGCTGGGATTACAGGCACGTGCCACCACACCTGGCTAATTTATTGTAGTTTTAGTAGAGATGGGGTTTCACCGTGTTAGCCACGATGGTCTTGATCTCCTGACCTTGTGATCCACCCGCCTTGGCCTCCCAAAGTGCTGGGATTACAGGCGTGAGCCATGGCGCCGGGCCCATCTTCTTTTCTGTCCACAGCCAAAACATCCTGCCACAAAAGGACCATTTGTTACAAAACAACTGCATATTCTTTTTTCAGTTAACTGAAGGTAACACAGGCCCTCCTGTGTCAATTTCTTCACCATACAAAACTGGGAGACACAGAAGTCATAGCTTAAGTAAGTGTCACTTCCTCTCGGAAGCCCAGCCTGAGTCCCTGATCTTGTATAAGGCAAATGTCCCTTTACAAAGCACCTGTTTCCCTTGCTGTGGTGCCTAACCACAGCACAACTGATATTGTATATGCACAACTGTCTATTTATCTCTTCCACATAGGTGAGCTTCTGGAAAGCACAGATACTGTCTAATCCTCCTTCTCTGTTCTTAACACCTGTTTGTTAAATAAATACATTCTGTAGTCAGACATGTCAAAAATTTTATTTTTTAATTTTTAGCAGCTAATTTTAAAAATGCTGAATTTAGACTAGATTCCTCCTTATTCTTTTGTACGCACTTAAAAATTTTCAACAAAACACTTAAAATCTTTTACTCAGAAAAGAACTACACATATCACTCTGAATTACTACAGACTCAATATCACATTGTTGTGGGGCTTTCAAGAATCTGTGCTTATATTTAAGCTAAAAATCCTTCACAGCACCTCCTGTCAGTTTGTAGATACGCATAGATTTTCTCAATATACCTGTATTGATATAGATATAAATATACCTGGTATAGAATAAGGCACGGTAAAATTCTCTACCTAGACATAAAACCCATATATTTAAACTTATGAGAAATCTGGAGAAGTACAGTATATACATGTCCAGCAAGACTTATGTTCCATTTTAAAGAAATGAGCCTTGGCAAATTTCCCTAGCACTGAGAACTGTTTAGCAAGAATTAATTTTTAAATGAAATAAGCTAAAAATAAAATAGATGTAGTATTATTTATACTTAAGTCTTGTTCTTTAGCAATTATTAAAGGTTACACTGGTATGTTTTATCATTGGTAACTGGACTCAAGTTTGACCAAATGTTTCTCTTTACCCATGAAAAATAGTTGCAATGTTCCAATTTTGACTGCCATTCCAGGTCTTTGGTGGCCCTTCATCAAGTGCAATTTGGTAGCCTAAATGATATGGGAGGGACAGAGCATAATTTCATGGCAGTAAGTATAGCTGAGACAGAAAGGTTAAACAAGGTCCATGTCTTTGGACACTTGACCCTAAGTTATGACAGATTAACTTTAAAAGACAATGTTTTATCTTGAACAGAGGGGAGTTTTGTCTTCTCCTTCCAGCTAGGTGGAAGTATTTGGCAAATGTCTTCTTTGGAAAGAATTATTTAGCAATGGAATTATAATCGGAATTATTTAGCAATGGAATTATAATCAATGTAGTAAGGACAGAAAAAGCAAACTAAGGACAAAGGAATAAATGAAGAAATGACAGCCACACTTGCCAAGGTGAATTCCATTCAGGGAATTTGCCAAATGAAAAGGATATTAACATTAACTTAAGCAGGTTTCCTTACTTCAGGAATTGTCTGTCTTTAATATTCATAATGGTCCTCATGAATTTTCCAAAGGATAGAGTATGCAGCATTTATGATTATTTAAAGGCTTTATAAATGTAACTGCTCTTGGGCATAGTGGTGCTATCAGGCAGACCTAGGTTGAAATTCTGGCTCTGTCAGCGGCTGTGATTTCATGTGCTAATTTCTTAACTCTTATGAGCCTCAATTACCTTGTCTGAAAAATCAGCCCTTTCATTTATATTTCAACAGAACTTCTGCCCTTGATGTCCCTTTGAAGTTATTTCCCATAATTAGTCACAGATCATAGCATCATCAGCTGCAATCATCTTATCTCCATTCTATTAACAAATTTACATACATTCTTTTGTATGTTCAACAAACAGCATATGCCAAGCTGAGCTGGCAACTGGACAAAAACATATTATATGTGGTTTCTGAACACCCAGAGCTCACTATCTTGTTGGGGAGAAAGGCAGTGAGGAAATAGTAATGCAGAGCAGTGACAGGTGCCCATAAGGGGTTCGCCTAGTTTGGAGAGGAGAAAACATTTGAGTTGAAATCTGAAGAGAGAAAATGAAGCCACTGGAGATGAAGAAAACAAACTTCCATGGGGCTGAGGGAACAAGAATGTGCAAATGCTCTGTGGGAGGCAGAAAGAAAGAGATTTTGAGGAGGAAAAAGGGCAGTGTAGTTTGCGTGCAAAAACCAGGTGAGCAAGATGGGAGAATCAGGAGAGGCTTTTTCTTTTTTTTTTTTTTTTTAATGTCAACACTGTTTGGTGTTTATTTGGTGAGCCTGAGGGCAATTTTCATTCTCATTTCTTTTTCTTATTGATTATTTCCAACCCTTTCAACAGTGAACATGCGTTGCTTTTGCAATTACAACAACAACAAGAATCCCTATAGACAAAGCAAAAAATATATACTTTGTAATGTTTTTAAAAAACAAAGATTAAACTACACTAAAATATAAGGTGATTATCTCTGAATGATAAGTTTTGGGGCAGTTTTTTTTTTACCCTCATCACTGCTTTCCGAATTCCAAAGGTAAAAAGATACTACTTGAATAAGAAGAAAAATAAAGAGAGTTGTGTTTCAAGCTTTCCCTCTTCCCTTCTTCCCACCCTATCTAACACTTGGAATATCCCATGAGGGTCTCCAACGTCAGCAGGAACTAAGAGCCAAGAGTCGACTGAGAGATGACTTTCTTTCTCTTTCTTTTTTGTTGTGTGGTGAAGAAAGAAATCATAATCTGACGTCTAAAGAGCACTTCACTGTTGCTCTTGGTTGGACTCTAAATCACATTGGGAAAATTAAAACTACAATGAGAAACATCTTACACCAGTCATGATGACTATTATTTTTTCAATTTTATTTTTATTACACTTTAAGTTCTAGGGTACATGTGCACAACGTGCAGGTTTGTTACATATGTATACATGTGCCATGTTAGTGTGCTGCACCCATTAACTCATCATTTACATTAGGTATATTTCCTAATGCTATCCGTCCCTCCTCCCCCCACCCCACAACAGGCCCCGGTGTGTGGCCCCGGTGTGTGATGTTCTCCATCCTGTGTCTATGTGTTCTCATTGTTCAATTCCCACCTATGAGTGAGAACATGCAGTGTTTGGTTTTCTGTCCTTGCAATAGTTTGCTCAGAATGGTTTCCAGCTTCATCCATGTCCCTACAAAGGACATGAACTCATCCATTTTTATGGCTGCATAGTATTCCATGTTGTATATGTGCCACATTTTCTTAATCCAGTCTATCATTGTTGGACATTTGGGTTGGTTCCAAGTCTTTGCTATTGTAAATAGTGCCACAATAAACACACGTGTGCATGTGTCTTTATAGCAGCATGATTTATAATCCTTTTGGTAAACACCCAGTAATGGGATGGCTGGGTCAAAAGGTATTTCTAGTTCTAGATCCTTGAAGAATCGCCACACTGTCTTCCACAATGGTTGAACTAGTTTACAGTCCCACCAACAGTGTAAAAGTTTTCCTATTACTCCACATCCTCTCCAGCACCTGTTGTTTCCTGATTTTTTAATGATTGCCATTCTAAATGGTGTGAGATGGTATCTCATTGTGGTTTTGATTTGCATTTCTCTGACGGCCAGTGATGATGAGCATGTTTTCCTGTGTCTATTGGCTCCATAAATGTCTTCTTTTGAGAAGTGTCTGTTCATATCCTTCGTTCACTTTTTGATGGGGTTGTTTGTTTTTTTCTTGTAAATTTAAGTTCTTTGTAGATTCTGGATATTAGCCCTTTGTCAGATGCGTACATTGTAAAAACTTTATCCCATTCTGTAGGTTGCCTGTTCACTCTGATGGTAGTTTCTTTTGCTGTGCAGAAACTCTTTAGTTTAATTAGATCCCATTTGTCAATTTTGGCTTTTGTTGCCATTGCTTTTGGTGTTTTAGTCATAAAGCCCTTACCCATGCCTATATCCTGAATGGTATTGCCTAGGTTTTCTTCTAGGGTTTTATGGTTTTAGGTCTAACATTTAAGTCTTTAATCCACCTTGAATTAATTTTTGTATAGCGTGTAAGGAAGGGATCCAGTTTCAGCTTTCTACATATGGCTAGCCAGTTTTCCCAGCACCACTTATTAAATAGGAAATCCTTTCCCCATTTCTTGTGTTTGTCAGGTTTGTCAAAGATCAGATTGTTGTCGATGTGTGGTATTATTTCTGAGGGCTCTGTTCTGTTCCATTGGCCTATCTCTCTGTTTTTGTACCAGTACCATGCTGTTTTGGTTACTGTAGCCTTGTAGTATAGTTTGAAGTCAAGTAGCGTGATGCCTCTAGCTTTGTTCTTTTGGCTTAGGATTGACTTGGCAATGTGGGCTCTTTTTTGCTTCCATGTGAACTTTAAGGTAGTTTTTTCCAATTCTGTGAAGGAAGTCATTGGTAGCTTGATGGGGATGGCGTTGAATCTATAAATTGCCTTGGGCAGTATGGCCATTTTCACGATATTGATTCTTCCTACCCATGAGCGTGGAATGTTCTTCCATTTGTTTGTATCCTCTTTTATTTCATTGAGCAGTGGTTTGTAGTTCTCCTTGAAGAGGTCCTTCCCATCTCTTGTAAATTGGATTCCTAGGTATTTTATTCTCTTTGAAGCAATTGTGAATGGGAGTTCACTCATGATTTGGCTCTCTGTTTGTCTGTTATTGGTGTATAAGAATGCTTGTGATTTTTTGCACACTGATTTTGTATCCTGAGACTTTGCTGAAGTTGCTTATCAGCTTAAGGAGATTTTGGGCTGAGATGATGGGGATTTCTAAATGTACAGTCATGTCATCTGCAAACAGGGACAATTTGACTTCCTCTTTTCCTAATTCAATACACTTTATTTCTTTCTCTTGCCTGATTGCCCTGGCCAGAATTTCCAACACTATGTTGAATAGGAGTGGTGAAAGAGGGCATCTCTGTCTTGTGCCAGTTTTCAAAGTGAATGCTTCCAGTTTTGCCAATTCAGTATGATATTGGCTGTGGGTTTGTCATAGATAGCTTGCATTATTTTCAGACACGTCCCATCACTACCTAGTTTATTGGGAGTTTTTAGCATGAAGCATTGTTGAATTTTGTCAAAGGCCTTTTCTGCATCTACTGAGATAATCATGTGGTTTTTGTCTTTGGTTCTGTTTATATGATGGATTATGTTTATTGATTTGCGTATGTGAACCAGCCTTGCATCCCAGGGATGAAGCCAACTTGATCGTGGTGGATAAGCTTTTTGATGTCCTGCTGGATTTGTTTTGCCAGTATTTTATTGAGGATTTTTGCATCGATGTTCATCAGGGATATTGGTCTAAAATTCTCTTATTTGGTTGTCTCACTGCCAGGCTTTGATATCAGGACAATGCTGGCCGCATAAAATGAGTTAGGGAGGATTTCCTCTTTTTCTCTTGATTGGAATGGTTTCAGAAGGAATGGTACCCGCTCCTCTTTGTACCTCCGGTAGAATTCGGCTGTGAATCCATCTGGTCCTGGACTTTTTTTGGTTGCTAGGCTATTAATTATTGCCTCAATTTCAGAGCCTGTTATTGGTCTATTAAGGGATTCAACTTCGTCCTGGTTTAGTCTTGGGAGAGTGTATGTGTCCGGGAATTTATCCATTTCTTCTAGATTTTCTAGTTTATTTGCATAGAGGTGTTTATAGTATTCTCTGGTGGTAGTTTATATTTCTGTGGGATCAGTGGTGATATCCCCTTTATCATTTTTTATTGCATCTATTTGATTCTTCTCTCTTTTCTTCTTTATTAGTCTTGCTAGTGGTCTATCAATTTTGTTGATCTTTTCAAAAAACCAGCTCCTGGATTCACTGATTTTTTGAAGGGTTTTTTGTGTCTCTATCTCCTTCAGTTCTGCTCTGATCTTAGTTACTTCTTGCCTTCTGCTAGCCTTTGAATGTGTTTGCTCTTGCTTGTCTAGTTCTTTTAATTGTGATGTTAGGGTGTCAATTTTAGATCTTTCCTGCTTTCTCCTGTGGGCATTTAGTGCTATAAATTTCCCTCTACACACTGCTTTAAATATGTCCCAGAGATTCTGGTATGTTGTGTCTTTGTTCTTATTGGTTTCAAAGAACATCTTTTTTTCTGCCTTCATTTGGTTATGTGCCCAGTAGTCATTCAGGAGCAGGTTGTTCAGTTTCCATGCATTTGAGCGGTTTTTGAATGAGTTTCTTAATCCTCAGTTCTTGTTTGATTGCACTGTGGTCTGAGAGACAGTTTATTATAATTTCTATTCTTTTACATTTGCAAAGGAGTGCTTTACTTCCGACTATGTGGTCAGTTTTGGAATAAGTGCGATGTGGTGCTGAGAAGAATGTATCTTCTGTTGATTTGGGGTGGAGAGTTCTGTAGATGTCTATTAGGTCCACCTGCTGCAGAGCTGAGTTCAATTCCTGGATATCATTGTTAACTTTCTGTCTCATTGATCTGTCTAATGTTGCCAGTGGAGTGTTAAAGTCTCCCATTATTATCGTGTGGGAGTCTAAGTCTCTTTGTAGGTCTCTAAGGGCTTGCTTTATGAATCTGGGTGCTCCTGTATTGGGTGCATATATATTTAGGATAGTTAGCTCTTCTTGTTGAATTGATCCCTTTACCATTATGTAATGGCCTTCTTTGTCTCTTTTCATCTTTGTTGGTTTAAAGTCTGTTTTGTTAGAGACTAGGATTGCAACCCCTGCTTGTTTTTTTTTTTCCATTTGCTTGGTAGATCTTCCTCCATCCCTTTAGTTTGAGCCTATGTGTGTCTCTGCAGGTGAGATGGGTCTCCTGAATACAGCACACTGATGGGTCTTGACTCTTTATCCAATTTGCCAGTCTGTGTCTTTTAATTGGAGCATTTAGTCCATTTACATTTAAGGTTAATATTATTATGTGTGAATTTGATCCTGTCATTTTGATGTTAGCTGGTTATTTCGCCCATTAGTTGGTGCAGTTTCTTCCTAGCATCAATGGTGTTTACAATTTGGCATGTTTTTGCAGTGGCTGTTACTGGTTGTTCCTTTCCATGTTTAATGCTTCCTTCAGGAGCTCTTGTAAGGCAGGCCTGGTGGTGACAAAGTCTCTCAGCATTTGCTTGTCTGTAAAGGATTTTATTTCTCCTTCACTTCTGAAGCTTAGTTTGGCTGGATATGAAATTCTGGGTTGAAAATTCTTGTCTTTAAGAATGTTGAATTGGCCCCCATTCTCTTCTGGCTTGTAGAGTTTCTGCCAAGAGATCTGTTGTTAGTCTGATGGGCTTCCCTTTGTGGGTAACCTGACCTTTCTCTCTGGCTGCTCTTAACATTTTTTCCTTCATTTCAACTTTGGTGAATCTGACAATTATGTGTCTTGGAGTTGCTCTTCTTGAGGAGTATCTTTGTGGTTGTCTCTGTATTTCCTGAATTTGAATGTTGGCCTGCCTTGCTAGGTTTGGGAAGTTCTCCTGGATAATATCCTGCAGAGTGTTTTCCAACTTGGTTCCATTCTCCTCATCACTTTCAGGTACACCAAGCAGACGTAGATTTGGTCTTTTCACATAGTCCCATATTTCCTGGAGGCTTTGTTCATTTCTTTTTACTCTTTTTTCTCTAAACGTCTCTTCCGGCTTCATTTCATTCATTTGTTCTTCAATCACTGATATTCTTTCTTCCACTTGATCGAATTGGCTACTGAAGCTTGTGCATGCATCACGTAGTTCTCATGCCATGGTTTTCAGCTCCATCAGGTCATTTAAGTTCTTCTCTACACTGATTATTCTAGTTAGCGATTCGTCTAATCTTTTTTCAAGGTTTTTAGCTTCTTTGCGATGGGTTCGAACATCCTCCTTTAGCTTGGAGAAGTTTGTTATTCTGATCTTCTGAAGCCTTCTTCACTCAACTTGTCAAAGTCATTCTCCATCCAGCTTTGTTCCCTTGCTGGCGAGGAGCTAGGTTCCTTTGTAGGAGAAGAGGCACTCTGATTTTTAGAATTTTCAGCTTTTCTGCTCTGGTTTCTCCCCATCTTTGTGGTTTTATCTATCTTTGGTCTTTGATGATGGTGACGTACACATGGGGTTTTGGTGTGGATGTCCTTTCTGTTTGTTAGTTTTCCTTCTAACAGTCAGGACCCTGAGCTGCAGGTCTGTTGGAGTTTGCTGGAGGTCCACTCCAGACCCTGTTTGCCTGTGTATCACCAGCGGAGGCTGCAGAACAGCAAATATTGCAGAATGGCAAATGTTGCTGCCTGATCCTTCCTCTGAAAGCTTTGTCTCAGAGGGGTACCTGGCTGTGTGAGGTGTCAGTCGGCCCCTACTGGGAGGTATCTCCCAGTTAGGCTACTTGGGTCTCAGGGACCCACTTGAGGAGGCATTCTGTCCGTTCTCAGATCTCAAACTCCGTGCTGGGAGAACCACTACTCTCTTCAAAGCTGTCAGATAGGGACGTTTAAGTCTGCAGAAGTTTCTGCTGCCTTTTTTTCAGCTATGCCCTGACCCTAGAGGTGGAGTCTACAGAGGCAGGCAGGCCTCCTTGAGCTGCGGTGGGCTCCACCCATTTCGAGCTTCTAGGCCGCTTTGTTTACCCACTCAAGCCTCAGCAATTGCGGACACCCCTCCCCCAGCCTCACTGCCACCTTGTGGTTCGAACTCAGACTGCTGTGCTAGCAGAGAGTGAAGCCCCGTGGGCATGGAACCCTCCGAGCCAGGCACCAGATATTATCTCCTGGTGTGCCCTTTGCTAAGACAGTTGGAAAAGCACAGTATTAGTGTGGGAGTGTCCCGATTTTCCAGGTACCGTCTCTCACGGCTTCTCTTGACTAGGAAAGGGAATTCCCCAACCCCTTGCACTTCCCAGGTGAGGCGATGTCCCGCCCTGCTTTGGCTCATGCTCCGTGGGCTGCACCCACTGTCCGACAAGCCCCAGTGAGATGAACCGGGTACCTCAATTGGAAATGCAGAAATCACCCATCTTCTGCACTCCTCACGCTGGGAGCTGTAGAATGGCGCTGTTCCTATTCAGCCATCTTGGAACCTCCTCCCATGATGACTATAAGGGAGGCTTTTAAATGGTGGAAATGAATGGTTTCCACCAGGACAGTGGCAAGATTCAATTATCATTTTAAAAATCTCTGTCAAGCTACAGTGTGGAAAATGGATTGGAAGGAGACAATAATGGCTGCAAGGGTATCAATTAAGAGGCTATTGTAGCAAGGATGATAATTTAAACTGCAATTGGAACAGAAGATATGGTAAAATGTGACAAATCTGAGAGATATTTAGGTTGGTAATTAATTGGGTAAGAGAACTGTGGTACATTTTACACATAAAGTCCTAAGGTGCAGTATTTGATTTGGTCTATAAATTGTACTCCAAATCAGCTGATGCTTTTATAGTTAGAGAGAATTATCTCAGTAGACGTAATACTTCTCTTTCAAAAACTGTCATGGTTCTTAATCATATTCCACAATGGTCAGTATGGGGATGTTTATGCCTCATGGAATAGAG
Organism: Homo sapiens; assembly: GCF_000001405.40. Lineage (NCBI taxonomy): Eukaryota > Metazoa > Chordata > Mammalia > Primates > Hominidae > Homo > Homo sapiens. Next base: position 60,967,040 of record NC_000003.12, read on the forward strand.
AAATCAAAAATTTAAATCTATATTTGATGTTAAATATAAATAGTATCTTCTTATAAAAATACATTACCATTACTCTTAGCTTGATATATTGTAAATTGCTTTATTCACCTCCTCAGCCATTTTTCATCAGCAGTAGTATATGTGCTCCCTGTTCCTGGCAGTGATTCACTGGATGAGAACATAAATGTATTTGTGGGAATATGTATGAACGTTGCTCTGGGAACAAAAGAAACAGTTCTGTTATACCACATTGGTGGTAATCATTCTTTCCCAAAATCATTGCTTGATCCCTTAAACAAACAAAACAATGTGAAATAACAAGCATTGCAAATACCTAAGACTTTGGTGTATTGACTGCCTATCTGTCAAATTTGACAGGAAGGATTAACCATGGTTTCAATATTTACACTTGGATTTTGAAAGACTAGATACCAAGTTGATGACTCTTTGAAAATAATATAGAAAAGTATATATAAATACATAGGTAAAAAGGATGGGACAAAAGTGTCAATGGTTACTGCTGAAATATGGTTTTGGAGTGCAAGTATAGGGGATTTCTGCTATTCATTTTATGCTTATGCAATGTTTAAGTTTTAGGAGCAGGTATCAGTTTCTAAGAAAAATCGAAAAAAGAGCAGATATGAAAAACAAGATCAATAAAATAGTTTCACTGTTTAATAATGCCAGGTTAGTGAGAGGCAACATTCATCATGGAAACTAAATGCATTACACTAGACTTTCACTATTTATAATTATTTTTCTAGGACCATGATCAGACTGGCCCACGGTATATAATCTACAAATTGACTACTGATATTGTAAGAGGGCTCAGCCATATTCAAATACCATCTATTAAAAAAATTAAATATGCTAATTCGCCACTACAATTTAAAATTCAACTGTAGGTAAATAAAAGTAAATTGTGCCAATATGCATGTGGAATTACTTGCTTCTGATCAACTAAAAAAAAATTAGTAAGAAATCTGGTGAACATCGTATTGGTAAACAAAAACAATTTTTAAAGGAAAGTGGCAAGATCCATGTCCAGTCTGATCCAAGGTGTTGCCAGAATGGCAGCCCGAGTTGAGAGCAGAAATGTGTTTCTCCTCACACCTTTCCAACTTTTAGGCTGTGGTCACTTCAAACTAAGAAGCAAATCACATCTTAGCCCATGTAGTAATGAGGTTATCCACACTAGAATGCATAAACGTCACCTTGTGGCTTGTTAAAAACACAGATTCTTGCCCATCACAAGATTATATTAAACTGACTAGGGTCTCTAATATAATGATGAATAAAAATGGAAATAATAAACACATTTATGATCTCAACAAGAAAATTGTTAATATTTCAAATTAAGTATGAAGTCTGCTGTAGGACTTTTTTTTTTTTTTTCGAGATGGAGTCTCACTCTGTCACTCAGGCTGGAGTGCAGTGGCATGATCTTGGCTCACTGCAAGCTCCTGGGGTTCAAACAATTCTCCTGCTTCAGCCTCCCGTGTAGCTGGGACTACAGGCACCTGCCACCACACCCAGCTAGTTTTTGTATTTTTATTAGAGACAGGATTTCACCATAGTGGCCAGGCTGGTCTCGAACTCCTGACCTCATGATCCACCCGCCTTGGCCTCCCAAAGTGCTGGGAATACAGGCCGCCCTGCCCGGCCCCTGCTGTAGTTTTTTAAAATAAATATTTATCTGATTAAGGAAGCTCAGCTCTATTCCCATTTTGCTGAGATTTTACCATGAATGAATGTGTTTGTCAATTTTTTCCCCTTATCTATTGAGATGATGATATGGTTTCTCAGTTTTACTCTATTAATATGGTAAGTTGCATTGACTGATTTTCAAATAATCAGCTTGTATTCCTGGAACAAACCCAACTTGATAATGATATATTATTCTTTTTATATATCACTGGATTTGATTTACCAATGTTTTGGCTAGGATTTTTTTTTCATTTATCTTCATGAAAAAAATTGAACTGTGGATTTATTTTCATTTAATACCCCTCATCTTTGGGGTCAAGGTTATGCTGGTCTAATGATGTGAGTTTACATATAACTGATATTGCTTCTTCCTTAAATGTTTGGAAGAATTTGCTGGTAAATTTAAATGGGCTCTTTTTTGTGGGAAGATTTCTAATTATGAAGCTAATTTCTGTAATAGATATAGGATAATTCAGATTCCCTAAAAATATATCAAATTTAGTTGTATTTTTAAGGAATTTAACCATTTCATTTAAATGTTCAAATTTACTGGCATAAAATCTTACTAATATCTTTTTTAGTGCTTTTTTATTTCTGATTATTATTTCAATAATTTCTGCTCTTATCTTTATTTTCTTCTACTTTCTTTGCATTTATTCTGTTTCTTTTTTAGATTCTTGATACTGATTACTAGATTACTAATTTTCAGGCTTTCTTCTTTTCTAAGAATTTAAGGCTATAAATTTCCATATAAAAACTGCTTTAGCTGCAACATCAAAGCTTGATATGTTATATCTTCATTATCAGAAATATTTTTAATTTTTGTTGTGATTACTTTCTTTGAAACATAGGGAAGAAAATATTACCTAATTTCCAAATATTGGAATTCTATCATTATCATTTTATTACTGATTTCCACCTTAATACTACTGTGAACAGAAGATAAACTCTATGGTTTAAAGCCTTTGACATTTGTTCAGAAGTGCTTATGTCTAGGTATATATTATATTTACTAAATCTTTAAAAATGTATATGCTTATTTGGTTGTTGCAGTGTTCTATACATAAGATTAAGTTTGTTACAAGTGGTGTTTGAATCTTCTATATGTTTACTGACTTTTTTGTTTGTTTTGTTTTCAGACAGGGTCTCCCTCTATTGCCCAGGCTGGAGTGCAGTGGCATGATCACAGCTCACTGCAACCTCTGCCTCCCAGGCTCAAGTGATCCTCCCACCTCAGCCTTCTGAATTTTTTGGTTTTGTAGAGATGGGGTTTCGCCATGTTTTCCAGGCTGGTCTTAAACTCCTACACTGAAGCGATCTGCCTGCCTCGGCCTCCCAAAGTGTTGGGATTACAGGTGTGAGCTACCAGGCCCAGCCGTTTACTGACATTTTGTCTTCATATTCTATTAACTACCTGAAGAGGTATGGTAAAATCCCAACTAAGGCTGAAGATTTGTATATTTCTCTTTTTCAGTGCTGTTATTTGCTTTCAAATATTTTGAGACCATGCTATATGTACCTATACATATAGCTATGTCTGCTTCTTTTGGAATACTGTGTGTTTGCACAATGTTTCTCTTTTTACAACTTTGAATCTTTATATGGATTTATATTTAGACTGTACCTCACATAGTTAGCTTATAGTTGTCTTGTTTTAATAATCCAGTCTAATAATCTGTTTTTAAATAGAAGTATTTAGTGTTTTGTATTAATATAATTAAGGTTATATTTATATTCTTATCACTATCTTAATATATTCTTTATTTGTCTCACAGTTTTCTGTTCCTAAATTCTCTTTTTGTCTTCAATTAATCAAATATATTTTATATTATCCATTTTCCCCCTCTATCAGCTTGGTAACTGTACATTCTTTAAGTGGTTACCCTGGAAATGAAAATATGATTTCTTGACTTATTAGAATCTACCATAATTGATACTTTTATCCTGTCTGGATAAGGATTTCACATTATTTTAACTTCATTTAATCCACTCTCATTCTACCTGTTATTGTTTGTTGCCTTTATTTTAATTCCACAAATATTTTATTTTTCAAGCTTTTTATTATGGATAATTCCCAACATATACAAAAATAGACTTAATAATCTAATGAAACGTTCATATTTATCATCCTGCTTTAGCAATCATTAGCTCATGACCAATCTTGTTCCATCTCTATCCCCATCCATTTTCTCTCCAAATATATTATTTTAAAACAAATTCCAAACATCATATTACATTTCTTATGACTATTTCTGTATGTATATCCAAAAGATGAGTATGCTTTTTATAATATATAACTATGATGTCATTATCACACATACGAAAAAATAATGATAATGGGCCAGGCGCAGTGGCTTACACCTGTAATCCCAGCACTTTGGGAGGTCAAGGCAGGTGGATCACTTGAGGTCAGGAGTTCAAGACCAGTCTGTCCAACATGGTAAAACCCTATCTCTACTAAAAAAGTACAAAAGTTAGCCGAGCATGGTGGTGTGTGCCTGTAGTCCCAGCTACTCAGGAGTCTGAGGCAGGAGAATCACTTGAACCCGGGAGGTTTCAGTGAGCAGCCTGGGTGACAAGAGTGAGACTCTGTCTCAATAAATAAATAATGCATAATACCATCAAATACTCTGGAAATACTCAAATTTCCAAATGTCTCAAATGTGATAACCATTTTTATAGGTATTTTGAAATCAAGAGCCAAATAAATTCTGCATACTGTGATTGGTTTATTTGTCCTTTAAGCTTAATTTAACCTATTGATTCTCCCTCAATCTTTTTTTTTTTGCCCCCTTGCTATCTATGCATTGGAGAAAGGGGCTTGTTGGAACTGAAGTTTTCCACGCTCTGATGTTTTTTCCCCCATGGGTATTGTATTAAATAAAATGCTTCCTAGCTGTAATTTCTGTTTGTTTGCAGTTAGATCTAGAGGCATGCAGATTCAAGTTCATTTGTTTTGTTTTTGGTAAGATTACCTCATGGCTAGTGGTTTATGTTCTTTTCTCTTTTCCCATAAATATTCAGGGCCTGGATCCGTTAATTCATTAAAATAAAAAAATAAGAATATTACACTTTTAAAACATTTATTAGCAGGAATCCTATTATCAAGAGAAAATTCCCCCATCTATGTTTACTTAGTCATACAAGAGATGTGGAACAAATGCTTGATTTTTTACATTTGTATACCATTTTTCAAAACAACAAATTGGTTCACTAACATCTTTCCATGGTAACCAATCGGTTATAATTATTCTTAATGTTATGAACTCATGGATATAAAATATTTGATGAATTTGCATCTGCTGCAGTTACTGTCAATGAGTGCTTAAATTGTTCTATCTTTAGTTATAGGACTTACACTCCACTAAACATTACTTTGATTGTTTTAAACAATCCATATTCATAGACACTTACTTATATATTTATACTTTTTGGTGTTCTTCATGCCCTCCTTCATTTACATGATTTCAACTGGGACTATTTCCTCTGACTGAGGAGCTCCTTTTAATAGTTTTGATATAGATATGCTGATAATTAATTATCTTAGTTTTAATTTTCTAAAAATGTCCTTTTTGAAGGATGTGTTCGGTAGGTATAAAATTCTGAATTGGCAATTACTTTCTTTTGGCACTTTAACCATGGCATCCCATTGTTTTCTTGGTTCCATTGTTTTGGTTTAAAAATTAGCTTTATGTCTCATTGGTGTGCCTTTGAAAATATATCTTTTTTCCTTTGGATGCTTTTAAGATGCATTTATTTGTCTTCAATTTTTAAGCAGTTTTACTACAATATGCCTCCATATTTTATTTGGCTTTTTTTTTTTCTTACACAGTTTCTTGAATCCATGGCTTGATGTTATTCATTAATTTTGGAAAATTCTTTACTGCTATTCTTCAAATAATACTTATGCCCCATCTTCCCTGAAATCTCCTCTTGGGCCTCCAATTGCCTGACACAGACCTTTACACTAACCAATATGTCTCTTATAAAATTTTCTTTATTTTTGCATTCTCTTTTCCACTCTGCTTTAATCTGGATATTTTCCCTTGATCTATTTTCCAGATCATGAATCCTCTCTTCTGTTGTGTCAACTCTATTATTAAACCTATCTACTTAGTTTTAAATTACACTTACTGTAATTTTAACTTTCATGTTGTACATTTGATTCCTTTCATAGGATCTAGATCTCTGGTGAAATTCTCTGTCTCTTCTTGAACATATTAATCTCTTATCTGAAACAGATTATAGCTATAGATCTTATAGCTCCAATTTCTCAGTCACTTTTGGATCTGTTACTTTTGGTTGGTTTTCTGTCTTGATTATTGGCCATTTGTTCTTGTTTCCTGGCATGCCTACTACTTTCTAGTGAATGACAGATACACTTTTTATGGAAATTGTACAAGTTTTGAATGATGTTATCTTTCTCCAAAGATGATTTGATTTTCTTCTGGCAGGCAGATAGAGTACAGGAAAATCATCTTAATCCAGTTGAGGCTGGTATATTTCCAGTTTGCTCTTACCCTAGGTTGTAGTTCTTCAGGGGCCTCAAGGACCTTGAGTATTTCCATGGTCCTACTTCTTTGAAAGCCCTGAACTCTGTGAGACACTGAGACTGCTACAATATCTGCTTTGCCATTTACTCCTGTATCAGATATTTTCAGCTTTATATTTTGTTGTCTCTCCCTGGGAGTGTACAAAAAGGCCTCAAGGGAAAATTCCATGCAGTATGTTGAACTTACATCTCTGTGGCTCCTTTCCTCTGGGATCTTGTTTCCTCCAGTCCTTTGTTGGTAGCCCTGAACTCCACTGGTCAGGAAAGAATTTAAGCTATTTCCACTTTAGAAACTAAAATCTTAAGTTACGCTCCTTGTTGATGTATTCATGCTTTTATTTTCCCTGATTTTTAATATTTTAAAAGCTGGTCACATTCTCATCATTTTGGTATGATCACAAAGAAACATGTAGTAATGGAAAACAAAGAAGTATTGACCTTCACTAGGCAATCAACCCTCAGATAATGTCAGGAAATCTGAAGCTTTCTCAAGTAGGAGTATGGAAGAGTGGAGAAGGGAGATGTGTTATTTATCACAGACAATACTCAGCACAATTTTATTGCTCCTTGGGGAATCCAAAGCTTTTAAAGATGATATTATTATTTGGAAGGCCTCCAGAGAGCACTAAGTATTAAAAATAGCACCTGCATTCTGCTAAGTCAAATCACCTGTTTATTATCCAGGGTGATGAAAATCATTTAATAAAATATTACAGACGCTTGTTCAAAATCATGCACACAATTCATAGGCTCAGAGACATTAATGTCTATGCCTGGCTCACTACATATTTGTTAAATTGATAACTCAGGTGGACATTAGTTAATATTACCACTTTTTAAAAATTAATGATATCAAGTTATTTGAAATAGCCAGTAGAAAACCTCTGCAGTAACATTTCCCATTTTTCCTCATACAAAATTTACATAAAACCTTTGCTTTGTAATAGCCACTATCTTTTTTCTTTAGAGAACCTTCTCCTCCTCCTGCCTTTAGAATATAAATATAAGAATGTGACTCAGGTCTGGTCAGTCCCTGTTCATCCCATTGGCCAGAGTTATTGGTTCAGAAATGAGCATGTGATCTACATTATTCCATTGAGACTCAGTACTTGGATTTTATGAACACTACTGGAAAGAGAATTGCTGCTGGTTGGTAAAGGGATAGAATGAAAGATTCAATGTGGTTATCACCACGTAATGAAGACCTGCCTAAGACTGAAGCCAAAACTACTTAAAACTTCTCAGTTACATGAATCAATAAATGCCCTTTGTTGCCTAAGCCAGTTTATTAGGACTGGGTTTCAGACCTGGAACCAAGAGTTCTTACTAATATAGCTATACCAAAAAAGTGTGTAGCAGCAACCAAGTCTGTCAACAAGAGTGATTAACCCTCAGGTTTAAGAACAAAACTGAAAAGACGCAGTAGCATTAGGAACATGTTTTTGTGGTGATAAGATTTATTCCAGTCCACTGATAATGTTTTACTTTCCCACCTACATTTACAGGATGCCCAAGACATGAGGCCTGAAATTTATCAATAATATCAAATAACATAGCCCCATTCTTGAAGTTCCAAAGTTAGAGTATTATTGGCATTTTTCACCTATTCCTCACAGAGCTTAGTTATTTGGGGATGAAGTAAGTTACAGAAGTTTCCAAAAAAGAAGGAAATCTCTATGTGTTTCATGTTTTTAAAATTCTGTCTTCGGCTTTGGCTTAAGTTATGGTTACTGATGGTAGCTGTAAGTAATATTCCCAGGAGAAAGGCTGCAAATAAAATGAGAATTCCTCAGCATCTTTATTGTCCTTCAAGTGGACACGAATTCAAGCAGGTGCACATACTGAGGATCATACATTTCTACTCATGGCATTTAATTAGGAGGAAAGTAAAATGTGCAGGGCCAGAACTTTAAATATTAGTTTAATAACCTTTATGCACCTAATTTCTGAATGATTTTCTTACTCTCTGGAGAGGCATCTAATGTCAGACAGTGGCATTAAGGTGAAATTAAGGTGAGTCATGGTAACTGAAAAGCCATGAGGCAGGCACATGTCAGAATTATTAATTTTAAAGGATATATGAAATATTTTCTCCTCTGAAAATATGCCCAGTTAATGTATGCTGAACTTGAAGTATGGCTTTATTTCCCTCATTCACAACTAATCACTGTCTCCAGGAGGAACAGACTAAAGAGAGAAAGATTACAAAAGAAGTATAGCCATTTCAAAATCCCCAAACAAATGAGAAATCAAAAGAACAATGACAAGCTTGTTGGTTATGTAGAGTAAAATTTTTAGTGTGCCAATCATGGCTGATACCATGTTTTGACCATGTCAAAATTCATCAAGGCAGGAGTTTTCAAACCTTTTTTGAATATGACCCACAGTGAAAAGTATTTCTATATCTATCTGTAATATGACTGTGTATGCATATACATTTACAAAACTCTTACCAAATTAAATGAACTCTCATATTTTCTATTCTATATAATTTCACTAAAAGCAATCCCTAAATTGTCTCACAACTCACCAGTAGCTTACAAGTTGATATAAAACATATAATTTGACATATATTCCACATCTTAGGCTAAGAGAATTACACATATTCAAATCATTACCAATGCCAATTTCAGATTAAGACTGTTCTGAAATGAAATCAAATCAACTCTTTCTACACAGTGGAAATTCTTAGACCGTTTATTAACTTCACTAAATATTTTCATAAAGCATTTGAAGCAAGATGCTTTCTTCAGGATAACACCTCCAAACATACTTTGTATCTTTCGTTTTTCTTTTTCTTTTTTTTTTTTTTTTTTTTTTTTTTTTGAGACGGAGTTTCACTCTGTTGCCCAAGCTGGAGTGCAGTGGTGGGATCTTGGCTCACTGCAACCTCTACCTCCTGGGTTCAAGTGATTCTTTTGCCTCAGCCTCCCAAGTAGCTGGAATTACAGGCACATGCTATCATGCCTGGCTAATTTTTGTATTTTTAGTAGAGACAGGGTTTTACCACGTTGGCCAGGCTAATCTTGCACTCCTGACCTCAGGTGATCTGCCCACCTCGGCCTCCCAAAGTGCTCAGATTCCAGGCGTGAGCCACCACACCCGGCCTCAGAACATACTTTGAAACAACCCAATGCAAGCTCACCACCTCAAATCCAGATCCAAAGACGACACTATCTTTAAAACAAACAAACGAAAAACCATGTCTCTATAAAAAGGAATGAAACATAATGTCACAGGGTGATATTCTAATGAGACAAAGAGGTAGTCCCATTATCTGTTTTGTTTTACCTGGTGGTATCAACTGTTGTTTCATCACTGTTTCTGTGAAGAACATGTTTTCTTAATGAACCCTTGAGAAGGACAGTGATTTGATGAATGAAAGATGTGACACATGAAACAAAATATTCCTCATTCCACACCTGTGTATATAATATCATTTGGCTCTCCAAATTATCTTAAAGTTTGAATCTCATTTCTTCCTTCCTCAATATTTTCTTTTACCATGGAGGCAGGGACAGCAAAGAAATGTTTCCTCTCCAGATCCACTATTAACTGAAAATTCCAGTGCTCTGAATACTTGTTTTTTTTTTTTTATTTTTAAAAAGGGACCTGAATTTCTATTAAAGGATTTCCTTTATTAACTCCTGCTGAAGAATTTACATATTGGCAGGTTGGAAAGTAAGCCCTGTAGGAAAGAAATCGGACTTGTTTTTCATCATCAACATGACGGTCTGATGATGGGTGTATGAGTTTCCTGTTGACACCCATGTCACATTTACTGAATTACTGTTGAGACCACAGGGTAGACCCAGCTTATACAATTCTTTTGTCTTCTTTCTGCTTCACAGATCATTCATAATCACACACGGGGTAAAAAATGAGGGAGCGAAAATTGTGTAAGCTAATTTTCACTGTTGCTGGAAGCGGAAGCAAATAGTTCTCAGAGCTGAGAGTGAACCTGGGTGGTGAAGAGCAGTCAGCATTACCGGTGGCAAGTTCAGCATTCTGACCAAAATGAGCCACTCTGAACCCTGGTGTTCAGTCAATGGCGGTTTCCTCAAATTTGTCCTTAAAAGTTGAAATGTATCATACTTCTGCTCAGCCACCCTTAAGAAACTTGAGTGTATGAGTGTGTGTGAAATACAAATAAAACCTACACAGCTATTGTCTGGATTGAACAAACAAGCAAATGTGCTCAGTTTTCCAAACAATTGCAGATGCTGTAATAATTCAGAAAAGTGTGTGCTGAGCAGTGGGGGATGCTGGCATGCTCTGTTAGAATCATTGTGGCTGGGTGCGGTGGTTCACGCCTGTAATCCCAGCACTTTGGGAGGCTGAGATGGGCAAATCACCTGAGGTCGGGAGTTCGAGACCAGGCTGACCAACATAGAGAAACCCCATCTCTACTAAAAATACAAAATTAGCCAGGTGTGGTGGCGCATGCCTGTAATCCCAGCTACTCAGGAGGCTGGGGCAGGAGAATCACTTGAACCCAGGAGGTAGAGGTTGCAGTGAGCCGAGATCTCGCCATTGCACTCCAGCCTGGACAACGAGAGCGAAACTCCATCTCAAAAACAAAAACAAAAAGACAGAGTCATTGCTAACCATGTTGCTTAGCACAATTTTGGAAGGAGGCATGATGCTGGCACAGAAAACCCTTGTCAGAAATTCCTATTCCTTAATTTTATGCTCTTTCTTTCATTCTTTTCTCACTTCATTGTCATACAGGCAAGTGAAAAAGAGTGGAAAGAGAAGAGGCGGTGTCAAAGGAAAAGAGAAAAAATACACCTGACTCCTGTTGTTTATGATTGTCTTGTCAGTTAACACCTGGGCAATCATCAACCATGTACTTTCCTTGAGCCAGGTCCTTAAAGAACCCAAGATGAAGGAAGTAGACAGAAGCAGCTTTGGGGTGGTTAGGGTAGTGCTTCTAGAACTTTAACGTGGCTACAGATTTCTTGGGAGTCTTGTTAAAATGTGGATTCTGATTCTAGAGTGGGGCCTCAAATTCTGCTTCAGTTGGTGATCTTGTTAAAATGCCGTTTCCGATTATGGGGTGGAGCCTCAGATTCTGCACTTCTACTCTTAGGGAAACCCAAGCCTCAGGGTTAGTCTTTGAGCCTGGGGCAGTGGCCTATCCTGGGCCTTTTTCTTTACAGGTATTTCACTTGACTACTTCTCCTTTTTTCAGGGGCCTGCAGTAAAGAGAAATAAAGCATGACATAGTCTGAAAAGCACTGGTTCTAGAATCAAACAAACTTGGGTTGGAATTCCAACTCTGCAACTGATTTGCAATCTGTGTGGTCACAGGTGAGTTTTTTGAATCCCTCTTAAATTCATTTTCTCCATCTATAAACTGGGTATGCCATTTTTTAACTCTCAGGGCAGCTACAAGGAACAAATGAGATCATGTGCATCATCAGGTAGGTTCACATTCATTATGAAATGAATGACTAAAGAGCCTAAAGCACAACCGTTCTATCTACAGGTAATAAAAAGGAAGGTAGGGTGCAACAATGTTTAAATACATCTTTATTTTTCTTAATACCATGACTTTGGCTCTTCCTTAGATCTACAGCTATGGGTTGTGTAGAGTTGTAACCACATTAAGCCAAGCATGTCTTCCCATTTCGAATACTTTTCTGACTCCAGAAATTCATTCTCTGATCATGCTTTCAGTAATGACAAAATCCAGAACAGATTGGGTTTTTGAAAATATTTCTTGCTATATCAAATGAGGAAAATTTGAAAATATTTCTTGCTGTATCAAATGATGAAAATACATCTGATGATTTACTTGCCCTCAATTAATTCAGTTCTTAGGCTTGCTCTTCTGGACTTCTCTGGCTCCTGTTTCCAACAACAGATTTCCCTTCTTCTCAAGCTCCCCTCTTCCCAGTCTCTCTCCTCCAATCTGAAATTGGGCTCCCTTTGCTCCCATAGTAAATAAGGCAAAAGTGTCCCTTCATTCCCATGTGATCCAGCTGGGGAATCTCAGTTTCTCTAAAGGAATCAAGAAGATACTTCAGAGTTAACCAGAGGAATTAAAGAAAAAACAGTTAATGCCAGCCTTCTCCAACCTTCCCACATCAGCAGACTGAACAAAGCGCTCAAAACTCAGGGTTTAATAAAGAGGGAAAAAGGAGGAGGAGCTACTTTATTGGGTGTAGTAGAGACAAAGAGGGAAATAGAAGAAAATTGTGAAGTAGTGACATTAGCTGCCATGTCCTACCTCCTCTGGCAGTTCTCCAGGGCAGACAGGGCTGGCAGCGGATGGGTGTTATAACTCCTATGGATCATGCCTGACCCTTCTGGGCCCGTCATGACTTCTGTTTAGATGACACTAAAGGGTCTCAGGGCAGCATCAGAGCAGGAAGGATGTGCCAACCACAGAAGTGCCAACTCATGACAAGAATCATTGCTCATTCAGGGATTGCTGCCCCTGCCATCACCCCCTCTGTCCCAGGATCTGCATTCCGCTGTTCTCTCTCCTGCAAGCTGTGACAGCAGAAGAGGGGCCTCCTTCCCATTAGCTCATTTCCATCTCGGACTTAGTCAAAGGAATAAATTATTGTCAGCTCATCTGTCTTATTAGATTGAGCCACATGATATTGCCATGTTGTTGCTCCAATACTGGCAATTTCATGTGATTCAACCTCATCTGCTGTTTAGAGAAAGGAAGTTTCACTGCTATGAAAAACTAAACCATTTCTGTGGCTGAGCTATGCTGACCAGAACAGAGTTATCTCAAATTCATCTACTCAAAAGCTGCATATTTTAAACTGAAATGCACTGAGCGTCTTCCTTATCCCTACTTTCCACATTTCTAAGACAAGATAAATTCAGCAACATTCTTTAGAAAACATTCCATCTCCAACAGCAACTATCAGTCAAACAACAGGGAATCATTGTGCATTTACTCTGTATAAAGCATAAGAAGGATAAAAAAAATAAACACAACATCTTTTCTGTCCCTAAGGAGTAACTGACGTAGCTGAAGAAAGAAGAGGGGAAAAACACCACAAAAAATGTAAAGAATGAAGCAACAATATAAGGAATGTCACAAGACAGACCATGATCATTTGCTAAATGAGTGGAATGGAAAATAAGTACAGTGAGTTGAGAGGCAGGAGCAATCACCTAGAATCTGATGTGAGCCACTTTCTATCTAATTTAGCTCATCAATCACCTCACCCTCCCACCTACTTACTGTGGGAAGTTATCACAGAAAATGAAAATCTCCTCTCTGCCTACTCATAACTCCCAGATGTCGGTTCCAGAAATGTATGCCCAGCAGGTCTCAGACCACTCCCACTCATTTATTGGGTCCATCTCAGGAAAAGATGGGGGAATGGGGACATTTACACTGGATGCTTTTCTTTCTCTAGGTGAAGTCAGCATGACACAGGAAAATGGGAGAAATCTAAATGTGTGTGCCTCAATATAAACTGTAGCCACCTGGTAGCCTAGCACTTTTCCTGACTTCATGACTCCTTTTAATTCTGAATTTCAACCTTTCTGAGCAGTTGCCAATAGTAAAAAAAATGACATAAATTTAAGCATACTACAAATACCTGTTTAGATACAAATGAGGTCACATTAACACCTCACAGCCCCCCTATTTTAGCAATTCCCTGCGTGCTCTCACTCACACAATCTCCCATGGTACCCTGCTCTTCCTCTCTGCTGAGGGCCTCCCTCTTGAGGACAATGCCTAGCCATGGACCCTGTCTCTAGTGTCCTCCTGGAGAAGGGTGTTTCCTTTCCCAGGGGGTCATAGCCAAGGGCTCTGCAAGGCAGCAGCAGCCCTGGCTGCCCCAGTACTTCTGGCATGAAAGCCATGCTGGGATGTTCCATGCAGAAATGCAGATAATACCCTTCTGCCCAACACTGTCACCCTCTACTGCCTGGGTTGAATAAAAGTGAAAGTTTGCTAAGGTCCCAAGGCAACATCTCTGACCAGGCCTTTTCTCCTTCTCCCCTTTCTTCCTTCCTTTTTTTTTTTTTTTTCTTTTTTTTTTTTGACAGAGTCTCACTCTGTCACCCAGGCTGGAGTGCAGTAGCGTGATCTTAGCTCACTGCAATCTCCACCTCCCAGGTTCAAGCAATTCTCCTGCCTCAGCCTCCCGAGTAGCTGGGACTACAGGTGCACGCCACCACTACCAGCTAATTTTTTTAAAATATATTTTCGTAGAGATGGGGTTTCACTGTGTTGCCCAGGCTGGTCTCGAACTCCTGAGCTCAGGCAATCCACCCGCCTCGGCCTCCCAAAGTGCTAGGATTACAGGCGTAAGCCACGGTGCCCAGCCACTTCTTTCCTTTTTTGAGACAGGGTCTTGCTCTGTTGCCAGTACTGGAGTACAGTGATATGATCATAGCACACTGTAGCTTCAAACTCCTGGGCTCTGGTGAGCCTCCCTTCTCAGTCTCCTGAGTAGCTGGGACTACAGGTGTACACCACCATGTCTGGCTATTTTTTTTTTAAGAGATGGGGTCTTGCCATGTTACCCAGGCTGGTCTCAAACTCCTGGACTCAAGTGATTCTCCCACCTTGGCCTCCCAAAATGCTGGGATGAAAGCCATTGTGCTCAGCCCTCACCCTCCACTTCTAATCCATAAGAAAGACGTGTCAATTTTACCTACAAAACATCCCTCGAGTCCTCCCCTTCACTCCATCTCGGCAGATACCCTGTTGGTTGCTTATTAATTACCATCACCTCTTACCTGGGCCTCTACCACAGCCTCCTAATGTCCTGCTTCCACTCTTGCCCTTCCAGTTCATTCTGCACAAAGCAGCAAGAGGGATCTTGTAAAAAGACTAAATGGATCATGTCTTCCTAGACTTAAAACCCTTCAGTGCTTTCCCTGCTACACTCAGAATAAAGTCAAAGCCCTTGGCCCTGGCCTACGGGGCCTTCCAGGACTTGGCCCCAGCCTTGCTCTACAGGAGACTGTCCAGTGAAGGTTATAAACTCAAAGTCCACTGCTTCCCATGAGAAGCCTGGGTCAGAATTCTGGGTCTTCTGTTTACCATGTGAACTGTGGAGCTTTGGGCCAGCTTCTTAGCTTCCCTGCACTTCAGTTCCTACACATGGAAAGTTACATATCTCACTGGATTATTAGAAATAAAGTGAGATACAACGTATACAGTGCTAGGAATATTGCCAGTCAATAGTAAATGCTTCATAAATATAATCAGCCTGGTCTGCTTTCATTTCTTCGAACACATCTTTTCCACTTCAGGGCCTTCCATTTGTTGTCCTTTCTGCTCAGAATGCTCTCCCTCCTCCCCGTTTGTACAGAAAGGCCTTCCCTGACTAACAGATCTCAATGGGGACTCTCCCTGTCTCACTCTGTTATTCTCTGTTGCAACTCTTCATTTCCTTCGTATCACTTGTATCCTGTGATAAACTGCCATTATTTTCTTTCTTTGGCTATTCACTGCTTATTGTCTTTCCCTTCCATGAGACTTTAATCTTTATAAGTATTACCATTGAATTCCAGTACTAGAACATCATTTTGACTCAGGGATCCTTCAAGAGCTTCCATCACTATTTAAATTTTTACAGTGAGGAAGTGGATGAATCTTACTAATCTCTCATCTCATGGTCTATTTCCATTTGGCTTTTACTTAAAGGGTCCTCTTTCTGTGGAGGTCAGACCAACTCTCTGGGGCAGGGTTGGACAAAAAACACCATGATTGACTCAGTCTCCCCAACTCCCCTGAAAGTACATATAAGCTTCTTTTCAAGGACTCCTTGCCTTCTTGGACAGATATTTAACTAAGTAACCTCTGATGGCTCCTTTTATCTCAATCCGATTTACCTTCTCTCTTGTGTGTGTGTGTGTGTGTGTGTGTGTGTAATGCACACACTTACTAAGATGTTGGCTTAGCCCAGAGTCCTCAGAAAGCACAGCCTGAGGCAAAATCTTACATAATCCTAATTTATTGGAATGTGCCATCCAGGGAAGGAAGAGGGAGAGAAGAAGGAAATGAGGAAGGGACGGAGAACAAGCAGATAGATACAAGGGTATATTTCTGAGCTGGCTGCCACTGTTACTCAGCACAACTGATGTCAGATCTCCAGGACCCATCTTCTGAGGCAGGCTGTGTGAATGACAGCTCCTTTGGACAATAAGTCAGGGTAAGAAGGAGATGAATTCCAGGTTGCACATACGTGGGAGCTGAGCCATCTAGTGCATCACAGGCCTCAGTGGCAACATGGGAGCCCTGGGGGAGATGACAGGCTGACTTGAGAGAATGGGAGCAGTCACTGTAACAGCCTTTGGCCCTTGGCAGCAACAATGTCAGCAGCATTAGTGACCTGGCTCTGTAACCATGAGAGCAGCACAAACCAGGCAAGCATACAGATCTGGAGGATGGCCTAAACTAAGTCTCGTACTGATGGGTAGGAAGGTGATGACTGTCCAAATGTAGTGTTTGAGGATGGCAAGCATGGGACATATAGGCTCACCACTCCTGAAGCTTGCACTCATGGCAGACATCTTTGTACTTTGTACTTTGTCTGGCTGAGCCCAAGTACAGCCTCAAAACACTTCTTCATACAGAGCTGTAATCAGCCACTACATCACAACAGTAATGCAAATGATGACAGCATAAGATAAAAAAAATTGTAATTCACACCTGAAATGATAAAGACAAAAACAGTATAAAGCTAATGAAAATGATGAATTTCAGAAAGTGAAAAATCCACCAAAGGGAAGCCCTTCCAGAGCATCTTCCATCTAACCCAGCTCCATAGCCCAGAAATCAGCGTCTGTGGATCTTCTTGATATTGCAGGAAAAGAGAATGCCATTCAAATGACAGCTTTTCCAGAACTGGAATTCTATGTACAACCTAGCATCACAGCTCTCATCATTCTGTATTTGATGACAGTTTTGTGGGTTTCATATCCCAAAATGATACCTGCCTAATTCACAGAGCAAAGTTTATTTCATTTAAAGCAGTTCTGATCAGGGGAAAATGTTTCATTGTGGTGTTATAAGGAATTGATCTGCTAATGTTCTTCTTAAGCTTTGACATTAATTACAGAGAAGATGCATCATCATTTCTACTGACCCTTCATTCCACCCCCACCTACCAATACACCCACCCAAATGTTCAGAGCTTTGTATATGTGTCTTAATAATCTGTCATCCAATACTTGGCAAGTGAAATGTGCTATCATATGGTACCAAGAATGTTCGCAGCTCTGGCTAAAACTTCACTGGATCTGATATTTAAGCCTTAGTGGTGATCTAACATAGGCAGAGAACTGTGCTAAGAACTGATAGATGCAGAAGTGAATAAAACACTGCCCCTTTCCCTTAGAGTAGTAAGTTCCAAACTAAAGGATAGAACCCAATAGTGGGTCTTGACATCAACTTAGGAAATTGTAACGAGAAATTTTAAAAGCTACAATAGAATTGAATATAGTAGAACATATCTCAAATAATAATAAAGGGTATAGTTTCATGAAGGGGTGTGTGTGTGTGTGTGTGTGTGTGTGTGTGCATATACATGTATTTCTTTCTGTAGGTGATCTAACAGTTTGAAAGCCTAAGTTTTCCAAAGGTGAAAACCATCATTCAAACACATAATGATAAAAATTTACGTATAGAGAATCCCTGGAGTCATGCAGAATCAACATTCAGTATGCATACAGGATGGCAGAGATTAGTACTAAGGGGGCCTGATATTCAGGCAATGGTGAGAATCTAGAGTTTGCCTTCTAAAGCCCACATTCCTCATATTACTCTCTGCTCAGAAACCACTGTATGTGCCCCCATCACTACAGAACGTAATCCAAGCTCATGAGTATGGCATTGAAGGACCTCCAAGCTTATTTCCCACTACTCTTCACCTCCTCCCACACCTTCTTGATGCCATACTGTTGCTATAATCATTTTTGCCATTTTGAATGTGTTCTGTGTTTGAATACGTTCTGTGTTTTTTTACTTCTGGACCCTTGCACAAACTCTTCCTTCATGCTGGAATGTCTTTCCTTCCCTATCTGACCACTAAAGTAATATACTTACAGTGGTCAGCCTTTGTTTTGTCTCTCCAGCAAGCTATCCGATCCTCCTTCTGGTAATAATATTTTCTTTCCTTTGAGAAACTCCCTGAAATTTCATGGGTTCTGTGGTCAATCATAATGCCCCACTGCCTATGGCCACAGGAGAAGCTCTGTGACAAACATACAGTGATTGGTTGAAAAAAACAAGCATGTGACCTATGGCAGAACATTATACTCTATCTCATGTACAGACGGGTACAATTCCTTCTCTGAATTCTAACAGCAGCCCTCAAAATACAGTGAGCATAATAATTACCTGGAAGACTTGCTAAACCACAGATTGGTTCCACCCCCAGAGTTTCTGATTGGATAAATGTAAATTATGGCCTGAGATTTTGCATTTCAAATAAATTCCCAGGTGCGTTAGCTTCCTCCTGTTGCTGTAACAAATTACCACAAACTTAGTGGCTTAAAACAACATAAATTTATCTTCTTACAGTTCTGGTGGTCAGAAGCCCAAAACAGGTCAAGGTGTTGACAGGGCTGTTCCTTCTGGAGGCTCCAGGGTAGAATCCATTTTTTTGGTTCTCTCAGCTTCTAGAGGTTGCCTGCATTCCTTGGCTCATGGCCCTTCTCTTGCATCACTCCAACCTCTTACTGCTGTCCTCAGAACTCCTACTACTAACGCTTACCTCCTGTCTCCCCCTTATAACGACCCTTGTGGTTATATTAGGCCTACTGAGATAATGTAGAATAATCTCTCATTCTCAACCCCCTTAACTTGATCATATCTGTGAAGTCCCTTTTGCCATAAGAGGTAACTTAGGCCTGAGTCCTTTCACCTGAGGATTAGGATGTGGACAACTTTGAGGGGTCATTATT
This sequence comes from Homo sapiens, assembly GCF_000001405.40. Classification (NCBI taxonomy): domain Eukaryota; kingdom Metazoa; phylum Chordata; class Mammalia; order Primates; family Hominidae; genus Homo; species Homo sapiens. The sequence continues at coordinate 60,986,202 of NC_000003.12, forward strand.
CAGTCTACCACACCAAGTGATGCTGATCCTGATAGTCCAGGGTCCACACTTTGAAAACCAATGAATTACTATCACTATCAAAGCCAGCCTAGTATTTTATTCTTTAGTCTGTCTGCCTCCCACTAGATTAAGAGGTTGCAGAGGCTGGAATAGATCTTGGCCTTTTTAAAAATTGCTTTAATTCTATGTACATTCTCCTTTCTGAATACTGGTAAATACATCTTTCAGTTAAACTGGAGGAATAGGTAAACAGTCTGAAATGCTGATAGAAAAGAAAACTGTGAAGATAAAACCCCAAAGTGGAGAGGTATTGGTTAATAGGATTATCTGGATTCCTTACTGCCAACAGTAAATCTTTCTACCTAATTATGCTCCCAAATTTCAAATTTCTCTATTGCTGACAACTATCGCCATTTTGATGCCCCCCAGTTATTTCTCATTTTTCTCAAACCAAATTTGTGTAGCTGGCCAGCCTATCCTGAGTTCTACCTCATGGGCTCTGGATGTCAGAGATAGCTTCACCACACACTCAAGAACTCAAGCCAGAAATTTCACCAGCATCATAGGAATAGCCGCTGACAGTTATTCCCCCACTGATATGTGCTTGGCAACGTTCTGAGTTCTCTGTGGGCACTTACTCATTAATTCTTACCATTCTTGTCTTGTCCATTTAAAAAATATCTCCCATAGTGCTTTACATGTAGCATACATACACTTTATAAGTCTACATTGCTTGGTTCATTCAGTAGACCATAAGCTCCTTGAGGGAAGGGATGGGTCTTATTCATCATCTTGTTGCCAGGATGAAACTATGTCACTTGTACCTCATATTACATTTGCAGTAAAATGTTAGAGAGATGAGACCATATGTGAGCAGTTGGAATTAAGTCAGTCAAGTTGAAGTGGGGTCTAACATCAAATTGCCTTGAAAAGCAGGCAGAACTTAAAACATGATATAATAGGCATCTCAGAGCTAGTGCAAAATCCTAAGCAAGAGCATAAAGCTAATGTTGGGAGCAGGCCCCCCAAAATCTGGCCATAAACTGGCCCCAAAACTGGCCATAAACAAAATCTCTGCAGCACTGTAACATGTTCATAATGGCCCTAACACCCAAGCTGGAAGGTTGTGGGTTTAGGGAATGAGGGCAAGGAACACCTGGCCTGCCCAGGGTGGAAAATCACTTAAAGGCATTCTTAAGCCATGAACAATAGCATGAGCAATCTGTGCCTTAAGGACATACTCCTGCTGCAGTTAACTAGCCCAACCTATTCCTTTAATTCGGCCCATAAGAGATACTTTTAGTTAATTTAGTATCTATAGAAACAATGCTAATGACTGGTTTGCTGTTAATAAATATGTGGATAAATCTCTGTTTGGGGCTCTCAGCTCTGAAGGCTGTGAGACCCCTGATTTCCCACTTCACACCTCTATATTTCTGTGTGTGTGTCTTTAATTCCTCTAGCACTGCTGGGTTAGGGTCTCCCTGACCAAGCTGGTCTTGGCAAGCTAAAATCATTTTATAGAGCCAAATCAGTAAGTCCCCAGTTTAGCTTAGAAACAATCAGACAAGGACCAAAGGCTTTCTAGGAGGTATGATTCTTTGAAGAGACAAGGGAGATTGAAATTGAGTCCATAAAATTCTCTTCCATCTTCCTGATTCTAGGTGTTGAGGTATCTGTCCTTTGTTCTTGGTGATTTACTATATCTGATTGCAACTTAGAATTCAAACATTAGGCTCTGCCTTCTTTTCCATCCGGATTCTAAAATCAATATCTTTACTATGACGCTTATTCCCAGGATTAATTTATGAAATTGTATGATGTGCTTTGAAGACTGAAGGCTTCTTAGAGAGAGAGGGAATGTCACCTTGTACTATCAAACCAGTATATTAAACAGTTACTGCTTTAAAAATCAGATGTTTGTTGGTTGAGATGCTATTAAATCTTAACCTACAAAACCAGCACATGATCATTTCAATGGTACAAAGGCAAACTAAATATAGCAGATGACAATTGCTACAACATAAGAGAAAAAATGTAATGTAATATTTTAACCATTTAGTTATATGCCACATGAAAATAAATTCTTATAAAGAATAAGTTTTAGCACTTGCCCCATTTGTGTGATAGGGTACCTACCATGTGCCAAGGGCTGTGCAATACTGTGATGAACAAAAGAATCCCTACGTGATGGAGCCATCAATCTAGTGGACAGGATGGATATTTAATAATTATGAATAATTACTACATAATCACAGGACAGAATAAAATGAAGGATTTCCAAGAGCAATGTGAACATAGAACCAAATATGGAGCATATCTGAGGAAACAAGAGGCTGTCCAGAGGAGACCATATTCCAGCTGAGATTTTAAGGGCAAATGAGAGCTGACGAGCAGCACAGAAGGGGAAAGAATCTTCCAGCATTTGATCGGCATGATACATAAAAGGAGAGTAGCAGGGCATGGGCTGGGAACCTGGAGGCCTGTTCAAGACTGTTCAGCCTTGACAAGGTAAAGGGCAAGAGGTGATATATTTGTTTGAGCTGAATCTCTCAGCATTTTGCATCTCAAGTCTCCTAGTTTTAAACAACTTTCTAGAGAGGAGGCTGCTCTTTATAGAACTGAGTATATGGAAGACAGCCTTGAGAACCTTAAATTCAATGCACTGTGTAGAATATAACCATGATTCTAAACGATACTTGTTAAAAGGCTTTTTTTTTTTTTTCAAATGGCCATGGCTTTGTTAAAAAAAAAAAAAAAAAAAAAAAAAAAAACAAGATAATTTGGTAACTGAGTAGAGACAGGACAGGTTTTTCTACTGAAGTCTTTGGTTTATGGATACACCTATAGTGTTGGAAGGAAGCATTTGTATTTTAAGGTATCTTTCCTAGGTTTGTTGCTAAGTTCATGGACAGCATACCCCCATGAAGATGACAACACAGTTCTTCTAAGACATTATTTATTTATGTATTTATTTTTTAGGCAGAGTCTTGCTGAAGTGCCATAGGAGTGATCACGGTTCACTGCAGCCTCAGCCTCCTTGGATCAAGTGATTCTCCTGTCGCAGCCTCTCAAGTATCTGAGACCACAGGTGTGTACCACCACACTTGGCTAAATTTTTTTTCTTTTTTTTTTGGAGAGACAGGGGTCTTGCTTTGTTGCTCAGTCTGGTCCTGAACTCCTGGCCTCAAGTGATCCTCCCACCTCAGCCTCTGAAAGTCTTTTAAGATATCATATTACGGAAACTTTAATTAAGCTCTTGCTACATATAAGACACTTTGCTTAGGATTCAATGTATATCTTTCATTTAACCTTCACAACAACTCTAGGAGGTAGGCACAATTATTATTCTGCTTATCAACGTTGTCAACTGAAGTTAGAAAGGTTAGTAAATCTTTGAAGTTCACACAGCAAGTCAGCAGTGAGGCTGTTAATCCCTCCCCACTGTTAACCAGGAAAACTCTACTTCTGTTAAATTCTGATCATTTTTTGCTAAAGGGGTTAGCAGTGCTTTTGACTCTTTTATGTTTCCCTTTGATTTACCATCTAATGGTTATTGCTACAGTGTTTAATAAGCAATGCATTATCCCTGGGCAGTGGAAGTAATATCATTACTCAGAGACGGTAAACAGAAGTTTGCATCTGTGCACTGCCTGGAGGTGGAAGCATCAATAAAAGCCTGAGGTGGAAGGAAGAGATGAATGTGCAGGCTTGAATCAGAGGCAAGGGACGCAATTTGATGTGGGGTAATAAGAAATTCTGCCTAGGCTAGCAAAGAAACACAATCCTTTACCACTCCTAGCCTCAACTGCACTGTTAGATTTCTCCTAACACTGCTTTTCTTTGCTCCACAGGGTACAACAGTCCCAGCCCCGCCCATCACACCCACAACCCTTATGTACGCCCAAGGGTGCCTGGCATGCAAGATTCTAAGAGCAATGGGTTGCAAGTCCCTTTGACAAAGTTTGCCTGGGGACCAGGAAATTTAAGTCTACATCCGAGGACCAAAGATATTTAAATTAAAAACTTCCTACCAAATCCAACAGCAGCTAAGAGAGTGGCGAATGCGATATTACAGAAATTGGTCTGCAGCCTCCAAATGCCAAAGTGGCAGCTTGTTATTTATGATAAGATAAGGAGCAGCTCGTTACTAAAGATATCCATGTCAACCCCACGCATTGAGCAGAACAAAGGATCGTTAATGATTCCTGGGCTTGTCATGTTAGAATGGGGTGGCGATGATAAAAGAGCATCTATATATGCTTTCCTTGTGACATTTCTTATTTTTAAACTCCAATATAAAAATATGTGTTAATTGTTATGATTTGTGTCACATGCTATGCTCCAGGGCTGGACAGGAAACAGTGTCCCCATTCTAGTATTTTTATAATAAGCAATAAACAAACAATAAACAATGACAACAAGAAGAGAACCACTTTCCAGGATCATATGATTAGTTCTGACATTTGGGAAATTGCTTCATTGCCAGAAGTCAATTCCCGCGATTGCGAGCATCTTCCACACATAAAATTAATAATGTGCCCAGCTCCCCTCCTGCCTTCATTTTATTATATGAAATTTGGACCTCCCACAGCATGTAAAGTCACATTTTTAAAATAAAACTTTCTTCCTTTATAAAATATATAAGGAAATGTCTTATAGAGTTACACAGACCTTTGAAAACATACATTTTTCCATTCCTTTGTTTATTCAGGCAATACCCGTTTGAGTACCTACTAAGCGCCAGGTACTTTTCTAGAGTGAATATGACAATGAGGGAAAACAGACAATTATTAATATTCCAAATGAACAAAATAAGTTTGGTAGTAGTAAGTGTTGGGAAAAAAATAAAGTAAGTCAACGTGATAGAGAGACAGGTCCTTCCTAATGGGGACGGGGGTGGAGGGGCGGTCAGAGAGGGACTCTCTAGGAAGGTGACATTTAAGCAACAAGTTGAATTACAAGAAGGAATCAGCCATAAAAAGATCTGGAGAGGAGCATTCCTGGCAGAAGGAATGGCAAATGCAAAGGCCCAGTGCCGGGGACAAGCCGGGCTTGTTCAAGAACAGATGAAGTTCAATGACCCGAGGGCATTGAGGAGGGCCCAGTGGATGCGGGATGAGGTCAGGGAGTGGGGGCAGGAGCAGATCAGGTGGGGCCTTGCAGGCCTAATGAAGACTTAGTATTTTATATTAATGACAAGGACAGCCACCGAAGGTTCAAATCTCGGAAATGATAGATTCTATTTGATATTTTAAAAATTACAGCTGTCTGGGCGTCATGGGGGAAGAAAATGGACAAAATTGTGTTCCACTCAAAGATAGCATTTCCCTTACAGATCCCAAGGCCCTGTCTTTGTCAGTACGGGTAGTGATTAAGAACATAGTGCTAGTCAGAAAACCTAGGTTTGAATCCTTGCTCTGCCATCAATATGCCATGTGATCTTAGGGACTCCATCAAACTTACTAAAGTCTTCACGTGAAAACTATAATAATAACTCTTCCCAGAGTCTTGGTGAAAATTAAATGAGATATAACACATAATACAGAGTAGTGTTAGTGCCTAGTACTTGATACATATAATAATAGCTGTTGTTGTTATTATTATTATTATTATTAAAATTAGGAAGAAGAAAGAGAAGCATAAGGTAAAGCACTCAGCAACTACTCTGATCATTCAGGTGAGAATACAGACTTATGGGAGACAGGATGGAGGTTTCCATCAGCATAGAGCATCTCTGTGCTCCAGGCCCTTGGACAAATGTCACCTCTTTAATGTCCTGAAGACATTAGGTAGAATCTAGACCAAAACAGAATTCTGGAAAAACTGGAAATAATTCAGATGCTCACCAACAGGAACATGAATCTTGATATCATGGATGCAACTCACAAATATGTTGATTGAGGAAAGCTAGACAGGAGAGACTACATGCTGTGTAATTCCATTTAGATGAAGTTCAAGAACAGGTGAAACTAACTGCTGTTGGTAGATATCAAAGCAGTGGTAACATTATAAGGGACCGTATTTGGAAAACATTTGGAAAGAGCACAAGGGAGCCTGCCAGGGTGCTGAAAAGTGCTCTATAACTTGATCTAGATGGCAGTTACATGATGGATATACATATGTAAAAATATCATCAAACCATATACTTAAATTAGCATACTTTATAAACTTTTACTGATGTATGTGTTATACCTTAATTTAAAAAAATATGTATTTCAGGGGATCAGAAAGTCAGCTACATAAATAAACAAATGGTGACTGCTCTCTTCAGGAAAACGATGACCTCAGGACTACTTAGGAGCCAGTTAATTTCCAAAGCTACTTCCCGTTTCTAAGTTAAACAGCTCTGCACATAATGTCAGCCACAGCAATGGCAAAGAACCGCAGGGCAGGTGATGAAAAAGCTCGGCTTAGCAGCAGGACAATGGGGAAGTGTGTTAAACTGGGACCATGACCAACTTCCCAAAACCCTCTCTGGTGATTGCCAGTGCCTGCTTAATGCCTTACCTTTCAATTGTGCTGAATTTGTCTGCATTAAATGAAAGTTCGAGGGGGCAGGATCACTTCTTTTTTGTTTTAGAAATATAGCTCAAGTACCTGTGTGCTCTATAAAGAATAAAAATAATAACAGGAGGCCGTGGAACAACTGAAGTATGGAACATGTATTTAGAAAGTACTTTCTGGCATTTCAATAAAGGAAATTCAGAGGGCTTCCAGCATAAGAACAGGATCCGAATGGATTCATTTTCCTGATAGAGTGACCCAACCCACAATGCAAAGTCATTAAGTCCCATCGCGTGGCATTAAAAAATGCTTTTAAGCTAAGATCAGCCGAAAATGTGCCCAGGGCAGATTTTTATGGCCATATCATCACAACCTGAAATTCAAATTGGTGAACTAGCTAGAAATACATGCTCACTAGAATGGTTCAGAGTTTTTCTGCATCTATCTCAGTGAAAAATGTTAGCAAAGGAAACCTTATTTTCCTGGAAAAACACTATCAAATAATAAAACAATTCAGGACCAGTTTTCACAAAGTAATAACAGGCCATACATAATTGATTGCCTTTAGTCTTCGTCTCTGGGTATTACAAATCACAGTTACTAGCGCATCGAACAAGCTTTCATTCCGGATTCAGACTGTCCGTCTTGGCACTGCCTGAAACGGCTTGAGCACCTTTATTGCACACTTTACTGCATTGTTCTTCAGTTGCTTCTTCAGTGAAGTTCTGCTATACCCAACAATGTTATACCCTCCTTCTTTCTGTGTGTTTACTGACTGTCCCTGATGGTAGGCAAAAAGTAACTTCTAGAAGGGAACTGATTTAGACTTATGATCTCACCTCAGGCTTGCAAGGCAATACACACCACCCAGGGAGATAAAACATATTCCTATGAAATCATATCCTAACTCTCTCCATTAAAACTCTAGAACTGCACTAAAAGCAGGAAAGATATACTAAAATTATACCAATTCTTTGGCTTACCAAACATCAGGCAGCTGCATCCATAAAAAAAAGGAATAAATAATTCATTCCAAAACTCTTTTTTGCACATCTCAAGGCTCATAACATTGGTTTGTAGGAGGAGGTCTGAACGAGGGCCTAGAAATTCTGAGTTATGCCTTGGCTATAACAGGAACCTGATCCCTCTATCTTACTCTCCCTTTGTATGTACGGCTAATGATATACACCTGGGCTGCCAGTGACAGTAGCCATGAGCCACGTGCCTATTGAGCACCTGAAATGTGAGTAGTCTGAAATGAGATGTGCTGTGAGTATAAAATACACACAGGATTTCAGAGATTTACTACCAAAAGAAGAATATAAAATATGATTCTTTAATAATGTTCAAATATTAATTACATGCTGTACATGCCGAAATGATAATATTTTAAAGATATTGGGTTAAATAAAATATACTATTTAAATTTATGTTACTTCTTCCATTGAACTTTTTTAATGTGGTTATTAAACATTTTTTTAAGTTATGTATGTGGCTCACATGTATTTCATTTGGATGACAATGATCTAGATATTCTGAATTGCTATGAAAGCTAAGATTCTCTCCTTGTGGAAATGGGTAATTACAAGCCTAACAGTTACGCATGTCTTAAAGGATGGAGAACGTGGGGGAAGAGGAAGCAATCAAGTCACCAAGTGTATTACATATTTAGTTATACTTCAATTTTCCTAAGCACATTACAAAAAGAATGGAAAGAAGGAAGAAAAACATGCACAGTCCTTCACCCTCCTGAGACAGAAATGAGACTGAAAATGGACTTTGAAATCAAACCATTTCAGATTAGAATTCTGCCTCTAACCTCAGTTTCTCCATTTGTAAAATGGAAGATAAGCATACTCACCTTTTAGAGAATTAAATAAGATCATGCCGATCAAGTACTTAAAGCAACATTGGGCACGGTTGGGAATAAAGATCTTGGCACCGGAGATGTTGAACCTGGAGCGGAAGGGACATTGAGACCAAAATGTCCATTGGGCAATGGGAATCTGAGCCTGGAGACCAATAAAAAGATGGATAGATGCAAGTGTCCTAGCAAGCAAGCCGCACAGGTGAGAAAACACTAAAACCAGGAAGGGAGCTGGTGTCACATAAGCAGCTCACACTTCATGGAAACATCACAGCTGCAGCTGAGCTCCAGCCAGTCGTTCCCATGAAGGAATAATAATGGTACAGTGTTGCCAGGTTTTCCAATTTTCTAAGAGAATCTAGAAATCCAGCTTTTTAAATGTTTAGAAATTTTAAAAAATTTAGTTTAATTTAAAAAGCACTCATTATTCCAGAGAGAACCCACGGGAAAATAGTTTAATACCAGCCAGGCGCGGTGGCTCACGCCTGTAATCCCAGCACTTTGGGAGGCCGAGGCGGGCGGATCACGAGGTCAGGAGATCGAGACCATCCTGGCTAACACGGTGAAACCCTGTCTCTACTAAGAAATAGAAAAAATTAGCCGGGCGTGGTGGCAGGCGCCTGAGTCCCAGCTACTCGGGAGGCTGAGGCATGAGAATGGCGTGAACCCGGGAGGCGGAGCTTGCAGTGAGCCGAGATCGTGCCACTGCACTCCAGCCTGGGGGACAGAGCGAGACTCTGTCTCAAAATAATAATAATAATAATAATAGTTTAATAACTCTGCTGCTGCCTCAAAGGTCAACAAGGTAACTTGTTAGATTTCTACCATATGAAAGTTAACGGGGATCTCAGATGAAATTCCCACAAGCCCCCAAACAGTTGAGCTGCCAAAGATGAAGAGGGAGATTTACCTCTTCCTCCTCCCAGCTCTTCATGCTGTAGGAACACAGTTGCTGCGACTACAGGTGTCCCAGCGGTCTTTCCCTCTCCCCAGACCGTGACCTGGATGTTATGCAGAATGTTTCAAAGAGAGCTGCAAAAGCACAAGGACTTTTTACAGGAGACACGTGACATAAACCAAGGTGCTACTCCGGCTATTATCCATTGCCCGCTTTAGGTCTCTCTGGAATATTGTCTGTTTCCATTTCAGGCACTCTCAGCTACTACCCATTTTGGTTAATAAATTATCATATTGTGTAAATGTATACAATCTGTAAGCCTGGAAGAACTGTCTGGAAAAAGGATTTTTAAAATATCACACTAAAAAAATAAATACTAGTGGCCTCTCTGTATCTATTGTAAGGAGTAAAAGGATTTACACCTGAAAAATTAAAATTACAGTAGCTACTCTTTCCTCAAGTGGTTCTTAGCAAATGCATTTTAAAGAGGATGACTTTCCAGTGAACACTTTAATTTTAATTTAACCTTCCCAGAAAATGAAGTGCTTTGTGTAGATTCTTTTGGTTTTATTTAAGGCATAAAAATTAGTTCTGAACTGTGATAATTGTGGGCTTAGGAATGTAATCATTCCAAGCACCACTTCTCACTTGCTTATAAGCCCTACAGGTCTTGAGTTGCTGTTTATTGCTAATTCGAAGTTGGCAAGTTATTTAACTGTGAAGCTGAACTTGAAGTCAGAGTGTGACGAGATGGTGGGAGGTAGATTGTTTTGTTTTGCTTTCAACAGGTTATCCAAAGCCCGGATGCAAAATGCGGTGCAAGACACGGTTCTAGATATGTGCTCCTCTAACTCTTAATCTTAATTAAAATGGGATGATGAAATGTTCTAAAGGTGGAATAAAATATTACATTAATCTATAACTCTATCTTGTCAAACCAACCACAGATAGGATACAGGTTCCTATCATCCACCCTTATGATTTTGTTCTTAATTGTGGCATTTTGTTGTTGCTGTGAGGACTCAACCTAAATACTATTGCTTCTATTTGATTGTTTAAAGGAAAATAATGTAACAAGCTTTGGTCATGAAAAATCGTAATGTCCATAATACAGTAGATGCAGCATTTCTAAACATTTTAGAATTACGTGTTTGAATCCACGACCACATACTCACATACATATAATCAACATTAACCAAAGGGTCATATGGCGATTTTTTTCCTTTATAATAAAGAGATCCTCTGAAACATTTTAAGATAAATGAATTCCTGCTTAAGTATGGGTGCATTTGAAGTGAGAATGCTTTGAATAAAGTTATCATTTTCACACACCACTATGCCTGAAAGTTATGAGCATTCAGACAGAAATCATTGAAGAAAACTTAATAAAAATATGTTTGGCATATGCCGTATTTAGTGTGATCAATAGTGTTTAGTAATTCAAGAAATGAATTAAAATTTCACCCTCATTTTGCCACTCCTAAATTTCCATTTGAAAAACAATAAGAGAAATTATTAACTCCCTGAATATTTCTAATGGGCTTCTCAGCATTATTGAGTAAAACTAACTCCACATTGCAGGCCTGTGTGCTGACTCAGGTTTCCAAGGTTTCTCTGGGAACTCTTTGGTCTGTTGTTGCTGTTCTTTATTCTTTATTGAAAGGCATTTCCTAGTGCATTTCCTAATTTTAGGCACCTGGCTAGACTTTGGGGATGAAACAATACATGTGGCAGAATCCCTGCCCTTGGGTGCCTTACCCTCTCCTTCATACAGCATCTAATGGATCCAAAACCAGGGAGAAGGTGCACCTCACAGCCACAGGCTGCAACAGAGAAAGGTAAAGTGCTGGTACTACCTGGTTTGTGTTTGTCTGTCTGTCTCTTTCTTTTCTTCTTTTTAGTAGGTGTCAATATTTTACATAAAGATCTAAATTTCTGACTTCTCTTAAAAAAAAAATCAGAAGATCTTAGCATACTGGACCAGAAAGACTACTTGGCAACATCTGGCTGAAGCTGTGGGGTGGGAGTGTTGAGGGGGGTGTGGATGGTGCACTTTTCCTAGTCATCTCTGGATCAAAACTGGCTCTAGTTTGCCAGTGTTCCCACCACTCCCTATAGTTTTATACTCACTCATATCCATTACCTGCTTTGTCCTCGTATTACAGTATTTACATTACTGACCTGCAAGAAGTAACTAGCAGTCAGAAAGCCTGATACTAGCCCTTGGTCTGCTGCTTATTAAATATATGACCTAGCATGAATTCGTGAATTGCATAATGCCTTGGAGCCTCAGTTTTCTCTTAAAAAAGATTAAAGACAAAACAAAACAAAACACGCCTTCTCTGGCACTGCAATTGCAAATCTCCAAAAAGAAATCTATGGAGGGGTTTCCAAACCTGGAAAGCATTAGGCCAAGGAATAATATTATTGTAATTTTGTTTTCAGAAGAAATATCTAGAAAATCAGAAATAACAGCCTATATCTGATTATACCTATAAAGATCACAAAGCACTCTCAACTGAATTAAATCTCATGTGACCTCTGAGATAAATATCACTTTAGCCATTTTGATGATGAAGAAACTCAGGCTGAAAAGGACCAAGGGATTTGCCCCAACACCAAATGCTGACATTTTTAAAAAGTCAACTTTCAAGATAGTTCCCATAATTTTAACACCTATGAAGACACTATTAACAACTGACATCACATGATGAAACAATAACCAGTAAGATGAGCCATCACTTTCCAAGGATATACTCTGGATAGAGAGTAGCAGCTTCTTTGAGCTTTCGTTTGTTTGCTTGTTATTCAAGAGCAACATTTTTTAAAGGGTATTACATGTTGTAATATAAAGGAAATATTTTAAGTAAATATTTGTAATAGGTACTCATTTGGACTTCTAATAAACTAGTAGGGTTAAAGCTTTTGAGGACGCACTTTCTCATTAAATGTTTGTCAACATTACATTATTTTCTTAGAGATTGTCATCAGCAAGTAACTTCTATGAGAAACAAATGTCCTTAATTTTATTAAAGTCTACTTTTATTAATCCCCTCCCTACCCCTAATTGAGCTAATTTGAACCATAGTGCCATTCAGAAAGAAATATGAGAATTCATCTGGCTCATTGTCACATACATTTTTTCCACAAAGAACCTAATAGAGTTAAAAGCTTGATTTAAACATGAATTAAAGGTTTATCATTTACCTTTAGGAACAAACTCTCCATAGGAATAGTAAGCTCTTTTAATGCATTTACATTTTATTAGGCTTACAGACATTCAATTTATTGGTGTCTTTAGGTACACATTTACTGCATACAGTCAAATATATAACACCTTCATAGTAACTTTTTTTAAAAAGAGAAGGTAGACTTATTTAAGTTTTTTCATGGTTCACCATAATTCAGGTAGCGAAGTCTAAATGAACAAGCAGAGGGCAGATGAGTGACTTTAAGTGCACAGGAGATCTCCACATAGTAATTTAGAGACACCGTGGGAAATAAATAAGGAGATACGTGAAAGAGTAACCAGCTCTTGGCAGGACATGTATATGACTGAGTAACATGCAAACTACTGTTTATACATTGCAATCAGCTGGCAGCCAAGCAAAAAGCTTATAGATGAGTAAGGACACTGCCACAGCCATGTTTTTGTTCTGAACCTCCTGATTAAACAAATAAACTCAGACTAGAGAGCCACATGGAGAATACAATGCTAGGGATACAATACAATAGAATACAATACACTTAGCATGCAGGGTCTAAATATTAACAGCAACTGCAGAAGATATCACTGCAGATTTGAGTAAACTTTCTGAAACAATAATCTACAAAACCAGCTGTGTTTGGTGATGGCTCTTCATAAAAACAAACAGTTGCAAGAAATCTAACAGGATTCCAAGCTACAGTTCTTAGCTTATAGATTTCAAACACTGGAGAGAAATGCATAACATCCCAGCTTTTTATTCTCCAAAGTGAAGATTTTGAAAGCAAATAGGATTACTATCTAGTATGGTCATCATAACATTTTTTAAAAAGACATTATTATTCTGGAATAGGAAGTATATGATCTCCTTACAATGAACAATTCCATGTAGAAAAAGATAGAATATCTGCAAAGCACTTTTGAGGTAGGTTAAGGTCCTGGGAAACAGATTCCTCATGCATTTAGCTTGAAGAAAGGTTTAAAAGGAATTCTTTAGGGATCAACACCTGCAGAAGGAAAGGGAAATAGAGGAGGAAGCAGGTGAGCTGAAGGAGAAGTCCCAATGGTAGCTTGTGGGGAATAATGAAGATGGGGTGCCTTAGCGCATTCTGGCAGTTGTAAAAAATATCATAAACAACAGAAATTTATTTATGATAGTTCTGGAGACTGGGAAGCCCATCAAGGTACCATCAGATTTGATGTCTGGTGAGGGCCCACTTCTGGTTCACAGATGATGGCTTCTGTCTGTCCTCACACAGTGGAGGGACTAGCAAGCTCCCTGGGGCCTCTTTTGTATAGGCACTAATCCCATCCATGAGGGTGGAACCATCACAACTTAATCACCTCCCAAAGGCCCCACTTTGAGGGTTAGGATTTCAACATAGAAATGTTGGGGGTACACAAACATTGAGACCATAGCATGGAATGTCCTGAGTGAGGGTGAGAAGGGAGGGGCCTTTTTACCCTCCAGTGATCAGTCACTGGAAGCAGGCCACCTCATGAAGGAGGTATGCCTTTGGGAGAGGGTTGTCTATGGGCAGCACCACAGCAAGTAGGGTGATAAGCCCTTAGCTCCTAAAGGAGGACCTGAGCAGTGCATTACAGAGTCCATGCGACACTTCTGTTCCAGGCTAGATAAAATATTTTTAAGCTCTGGCTGTAAGGACAGTCACCTTTAAGCTTTTAATCTTAGACAACCATCATAATACAAGGGCTATTTGAGACACAATGGTAAGACATTAAAAGGTCAAAGCATATAATGCTCTTACTGTCCATCAGATAACATCTCCAGGAAAATCAGTCCTGCTGCTCTTTGATACCAAATGGCTTCTTAGGTATCAGATCTGCTGGCTTGTTCTGAAAAAAGGTAGAGTGAACTCATTTTTCTCTACTCCTTCCCTCTAAATACCCTGGAAGTTATTCAACGGGAAGTGATAAAGAACTCTAAAACCTGGAAAAAAAAGGAGATAGAAACTGACTAGGGGCCTTAGCACTTGAGGGACAACAACCTGGTGAGTTCCGTGGGGTTTCCTTTTTATTTCCAATATACCCTATGCCGGGTTCCAGAGACGGCTGCAACCCCAAAACAGCAACAGGGAGAGCCTGCTCCCTCTGGTCAAATGACCAGTAAAGAAGTCCAGTAGAGACCTAGTGGGGAAGCCCCAGCCCCAGCCCCTACTCTACCACTAGGGCAGCGATGGGCAGTGAGGCCCTAGGCCATCCCAACCATATATCTGACAAAGAATTACTATCTACAGTATATAAATAATTCTCAAAGCTCAACAGAAAAAAAAAACAATAAACAGTTAGAAAATGGGCAGAAAATATGAAGAGACAGCTCACCAAAGAGCATATACAGGTAGTAAGCACACAAAAAAATATTCGACATCATTAGCCATAAGAGAAATGCAATTTAAAACCACAAAAATATTGTTACATATCTATCAGAATGGCTAAAATAAAAAAGCAGTGATAACATCAAATGCTGGTGAGGATGCAGAGACACTAGATCACTCAGACATTGCTGATGGGAATGTAAAATGGTACAGCTATTCTAGAAAATAGTTCAGCTGTTCATTTTAAAACAAAAAATAAATTTGCTATATTACCCAGAAGTGGCACTCTCGGGCACTTGTCACAGAGAAACGAAAACTCATATTCACACAGAAATTTAAACATGAATGTTCGTAGCAGCTTTATTTGTAATACCCAAGAAATGAAAATTATCCAAATATCCTTCAATGGATAATGGTCAAACAAACTGTGATATAACATAACACGGAATATTTCTTAGCAATACAAAGGAATGAACTATTGATACACACCTGGATGAATATCAAGGAAATTATGCTAAGTAAAAATTAAAGCCAATCTCAAGAAGATACATACTATATGATTACTTTAATATAGCATTCATGAAATATGATAATCATAGAGATCAAGAATAGAGTAGTGGTGGCTAGTTGTTCAGAATGGGGTAGGGAATAGGTGTTGACTCTACAGGGGTAGCATGAGGGAGTCTCTGATGATGGGACAGTGAAGTATCTTGATAGTGGTTGTGGTTTCATGAAGCTACACTTATGATAAAATTGCGTAGAGCTACACATGCACACATATACACACACAAATGAGTACCTGCATAACTGGTCAATCTAAATAAGCTCTATGGATATGCATTGTACTAATGCCAATTTCTTGGTTTTTATATTGTCCTCTAGTTAGGCAAGATATTAACATTGGGGAAAACTGGAAAAAGGGTACACAGGCCCTCCCTCTACATTTCTTTGTTTGTTTCTGTGTATCTACTGTTATTTCAAATTTTAAAATTTACTTTAATTGACAAATAATACTTGTATATATTTAGGGGGTGCAATGTGATGTTTTGATATATGCATACAATGTAGAATGATTAAATCAAGGTAATTAACATATCTATCATCTCATAATTTATTTGTGGTGAGACATTTGAAATTTATACTCAGCAATTTTAAAATATGTGATACATTTTTATTTACTATAGTCACAATGCTGTGCAATAGATCTCAAAAACTTATTCCTCCTGACTAACTGCAAATTTGTACCCTGGTTTTTGCTTTTATTTTTGAGACAAGGTCTTGCTCTGTCACACAAGCTGGAGTGCAGTGGCCCAAGCACAGTTTACTGCAGCCCAATCTCCTGGGTTCAAGCAGTTCTCCCACCTCAGCCTCCCGAGTAGCTGGGACTACACGCATGTGCCAACATGCCAGGCCAGTCTTTTACTTTTTGTAGAGACAGGTTCTCACTATGTTGCCCTAGCTGGTTTCAAACTCCTGGGCTCAAGTGATCCTCCCACCTCGGCCTCCCAAAGTGCTGTGAGCCACAGGCATGAGCCACAGGCATTAGCCACTGCACCTGGCCACTTTATACCCTTTGATCAACATCTCCCCATTCCCTCTCCCTATCCCCCAGCCTCTAGTGACCACCATTCCACTCACTACTTCTATGACAAAAATTAAAGTTTGTTTCTTTTTTTTTTAATTAGGCCCGTTGATTGCTCAGGGTAAGAAATCGTAATAAAATTCTAGGTATTTCTTCCTTTGCAATGTGCCAGCATCTGCATCTATCACTGGAAAGTGGATTGCAAACCCATCTCAGATGCCCACACCTCCATTAACCTCTCCTACTCCCGGCCCAATTTCCTGCTCCATACCCCTTCTGATAGTTGCTTGCCTGGAATCCCTTCAATGGCTTAGCAAACTCTATGGCAGTTCCTGGGTTGCACTTCAACACTTTCTTGACCCTGGCCCACCTCTGTTGTAATCCCTTTCTCAAGGTCTGGTGCAATTAAGAATGCTGCTGAAAGGGTTTTTGTTGTAGTTCGTGCCTATCAAACACAGACTATTCTGATTACTTGTGGCATTTTGCAGTGATATAAAATTAAAACTAAAGCACAGGAGAAGAATCTTAGGTTTTTATATAAATAATTTATTGTCTATAAATTCTCCCAAGAGGAATCTATGTCAGTCTACAGAAAGTGTCTCTCCATTGAGACCCATACCATTTGCCTGTAAATTCAGCACACTGATAGCCATTTGCAATCTGCAAAAGAAAAGCCATCTATCTAAAGGGGCACGCCACACTGTTATTCCTTTGTAATATTAAGAAATTTATCCTAATTTAAAAGATAACTGAATTCTTATTCTTTTACAAATTAGACTTTAAAACACAGCCACTGAATTGACCAAGCACTACCAAGCTTTTATCCTACTTTTATTTAAATGTACTGAAACATTAGTGATGAAAGCTTTCATTTAAAGAATTCTGATGATTCTAATATTCACTTATAATGTCCATTTAGCTACCACATTGTGTTTATGCCCCTTAAAAGCTGAAGCTATGACTGCTCTAGTACTGAGTTCTCCAGTGCTTATCATTAATTAAAAGGTAAAACACGATTACCAGGGTATCTGCAATCAAGCTTTCAATGTAAGAAATATCAATATCCAGTACTTGAGAACATTTTGGAACCAATTTTAATAGGTAAAAAAGTCCAAAGAGAAGAAAAAATGTTCTTTATTATTTCAAATTAAAACCAGATCAGTATATCTTACTGAAAAGTTGCAATTGCCCATGCCTTCCAGGCATCTGCCTAGTTTTTCTCTTATAGCAGATGCTAAAGAAGAGAAATCTGGCATGTCCATTTCTGTAATATTTACAGATATAACACATCAGCAATACATCAGTTTGGTTTTTTATGGAAGCTAACCTCAAGAAGCAAAACATGCTCTGTGAGTGTACTTGTGTACTTACTTCAGATCATCCTTATGCTTGGGGGTGGGCAGACAGATTATTAAATAATGACTGTACTGAGTGTCTACTAAGCACAGTGGTGTACTTGTGTTGAGGGCACCGAGACGAATAGAAGAATCCCTACCCTAAAGGAGTGCAAAATCTAGTATCGGAGCCACATGAATATTGTGCAAGTGAAAGAAGGTGAGCACAGATTATGTCCATGGTGAAACAAAAGTTCTGAATATCTGTTGAGACTGATAAAAATAGATCCTGCTAATGTTAATGGCAAAAATGGCCTGAGTGTCTTTAGCTCCCCAATCAACTCTACCAGTATCCACCCAAGCCACCCCAAATAAAGTGTTTGCCCAGTGTACATATGCAGTTTCAAAAAAGTTGCCCGGTTTCTCCTCTTCTGTATTGGTAGGAATTGAGCAGGACACAGATGGCCCACTGAAATTAGAATAATTTGAGGAAGGTTTAATAAAGGGACTATTTATAAAACTTTGGGTAGTATGTAGGAAAACCATAAGGGACATTCAACACTCTGGAACTGTTATCATCACACGACATAAAGGGAGAAGGGGAAGGAGCACTGACCAGAACTTGGAAAGAGAAAGTCTGGTGGAGAGGTCAACCTCGAGAAGAGCTATCTGCTTTGATAGAGGAACATAGCCAGCTCAAAGGGACCCCACAGGGAGTGATCCAAGGCAACTAATACCTTGACCTCACTCTCCTTCCATTTTCCAGTCTCCTGCTTGGGTCCCCCCATTGGCCAGAAGGCAAAAAAACCCACTGATGAAGCATACAGGTCAGCAGGTGGAAAAGGATAGCATCCCTGATTCCTGGTATTAAGAAAATCAATCAGCCGCCAACCGCAGAGAACTGCTGTGAAAATTAAATGATGTAAAGCACATTATGCACTCAAACATACCTCAAACATAGTAAGTAAATGAGAAATGTAAGTTGTTAAATATATAATATGGGATATTTTTCATTATACAATTCAATATAGCAATTATCTATGCCTCCCACCATTTTCTCCCCACATGAGAGGTACAGCAGAGAGGGAGAAGAACCAATGTTTCCTGGGTGGCTAGTATGATTGCAGCAGAGTGCTAAGCATTTGCTATATATCCCATCTTATTTCATTCTCCCTAGAAAGAATGTGATAGGAATTATTAAGCTCTTAGGAAAGGTGAGTAAATGAAGCTCAGATATGTTGCCTATAATTATTGCTTATAATTAGGATCTCAGATCTGTCAAATTCCTAAGCTAATGACTTCTCCATTATTTTATGTAGATGGGCTACCTGTCCATATTAGATAATTTTATTTTTATCACGTTGAGGGGAATTAGAGAAAAACTTGCTAAAAGCTAAGCATCTAACTTAGGGCTTGCCACAGAAGAGATAGTCAGTAACTGCTATATATGATGATGAGGAGGAGCAGGATGATAATGATTGTGATGGTGATGGTGATGGTACTGGTGATGGTGATGGTGATGGTGACAATGATAATTATGGCAGCGGTGACAAATGATGGTGGTAATAGTGATGATAAGAACCACCCTACTTTAACCTAGGAGCAAAGAACTTCTGCAACAGACACGAAGAATTCCTTAAATAAGGTTTCAGTATATAGTTGAAGTAGTGGAACTGATAAATATTTGTTAATCCTGGTCCCTCAATCCAAGAAGAAGCTTTTTCAGAGCAGGCTGTGTGGTGCATGGCTGGGCCACTATGAATTTCGGTTTCCCTGTGTGTGAAACGCAATAATTATATATGTGGTGCCTAGAGCTGATGTGAAGAATGAAAGGAATGCATTTAGAACACTTGGAACAGCCTGGAGCACAGCGAACACTAGGTCAAGATAGCCACTTACTGTCGGGGAGGTTAGTTCCAACATGGCTGGGCTCTCAGCAAGTCTTCTTTTGAGGAAAGGACCCAGAAGTGGAAATGGCCCCTCTCCTTACTAGCTGTGTCCTCACCCACTCCACTCATCTACACAGTTTAGAATCTGAGGGTGAAAGAAGGAAGAGCAGGCAAGGGAAGGCAGCAGTGGAAAACAGCTCTTGGGTGGTAAGTAGGGAGCAGGAAGAGCAGTTACCACCATGCTTAAAACAAGGTTTTTAAAAAAAAAAAATTGCCTGAAGTCACATTTGAAAATAAAGAGCTTGGTAAACATGCTGATGGCAAAGAGAACTTGTAAAACAGTTTCACTTGAAAAAGGCCAAGGTTAATGGTATAATTTCAATTTTGAACCTTCTTTTAATATGGATTAGTGCTCTCAAATATGGGATTTGACATTAAGATGCCAAAAGAAGACTCAGAAGGTAACCTCAAGCAGTATTTTTTAAGGAAATTTCTTCCTTTTATCATTTGAACGCAGCTGAACAAAAACGTTATTAAAAATTATTCTGTCATAAAAACAGCAACATCAATGACCATAACAAATGCTAAAAAGCAAAATTATCCATGAAATTAAAAATATTTCACGAATCCAAGGTGAGAAATATTTTAGGGATGACACTTGGCACTTGAGATTTATGTAATGAGACATTACCAACTTTTATGTATAAAATTTCCTTTCTGAAAAAAAAGTATGAAAAATCAAAAGAAGGCACCAAAAAAGTCCCCCACTGATTTGGAAAACATATTCTTTTTTTTTTTTTTTTACAATTAACTGCATTTGGAGAACTGCATCACACTTTTAAATAAAATATACATAACACATTTTCTCTTTATAGAAAAACCTTTACAAACCCTTAAGTTTGCTGAATTACTGCTGAAAAAGTATTTTTGAAATAAAATATACAGAATGAATAAAGCATCTTTACTCCATTCTTCGGAAATTATCTAGATACAAATATATACATGGCTAAGTTCAAAAACTTACATAGTAGAAAGTTTAATAATTTGATCTATAATATTAAGCTGTTGATACTTTCGATTGGAAAGAAGGAGGGGAAATAGTGAAAGAAAAATTAACCACAGAATATATTCTTTGCAGTTTGAGATATAAAATGTTTTATCATTTACATTAATGTGCATAACATTTTAATATTAATTGTTGCCTCTTTCATCTTGCTGTCTTATTTTTTAAAAGCTTATCATAGAAAAGTCTCTATATGAAATTGTTCATCCAAACAGATAAAAAGTTGGAATTATAACTGGGCCAATGAAATGTTGTTGTTTTGTATTTTATTGCTTTGCTTCTTCTTTAGTAATCATCTTTGCAGTCTGTCTAAACAATTCTCTGTGCACTGACATTTGCAATAATGTGTTTACATCACAAAGTTAGACCCTGTCATTCGATGGAACAAGAGGCTGTATTTTGTAGCCCCCAGACACTCTGCATAACTTACTCCCTCTTTGGCCTGAGAGTGTAATCGTTTTTTCATCTGCCATGTTTAATTACCTTTACAGGCATTAACAACAGTTTACTAGAAATCGATGGAGGAGCAATAAATTCATTAGGTTCAGTGGAGGTAAGAAGTTTCATATTCTTTTTCTCAGGTGAATACCTATTTGAGAACTACTAACTTCATCTTCCATAAACCTAAAAAATATAATATATGATTTTCATCTGTCTACCAGTTCTTAATCTCCTACCAAAGATGGAGTCACAACACAAAATCAGGAGTCAATAGTTACAATGCTTTCTCACTCTGACACAAAATTGTGTAACTTGAAGGAAACGTGGGTTCCCTTATGCATGCAAATGCCCTATGCGACTACAGAATGTGTTCCCTACACTTCAGAAGCTGTTGATGTTCCACTCAGATCTCTGTAGGATCCCTTTTACCAGTTTGGTGTCCCATTCCTCCCTACAGGTGTTGCTGCCCATCTTCTCCAAAGAATTGCCCTTGAGTGACCAGAGCAACACCCAGAGGTTCTGGGGAGATATATCACTAAATTCGGCCCCCACCCAGGGTCCATAGCTAAAGACTGAATGGTGGGAAGGGAAGGTACAAAAGTCTACACTCCTGTCTCAAGGCAGAACTGACCCTGTAGTATGTTTCATGCTCCCAAGACTCCCCATGTGATCAGGTTAATTTCACCTGAAACCACAACCTTGGTAGCTTCTTCCACTTCCTTATACTAATTCCCTCACTCCCTTCCTGGTTTCTCCCAAGAGCCCTCTCTTACTAATCACCTGCACACCCATCTCCAGTTCTAGGGAATTCAACCAAAGACCCTGTAGAAGCAAACATTACAGAACAGACAGGCATACAAATGGTTTTCCAGTTTTTGCAGGTAATCAATATCTCAGCCATTTTAAAAGGTACTGTCCACAGTGTTTTATAAGCACAAGTTGGGGATGGAGGGGAATCACATGCCTGTTATGTAATTGTGTGAAAAGAAGTTCCTAAGATCTACAAAGTCACATCATTTGCAGAAGTCACTAACTGATTCCTGCTCCAGGGAAGGCTGCAGTTGGCAAGGGCTGCCCTTCTTGGCAGGTGTCAGGCAGGGCTCTGCACTACAATTCTCCCTGCATTGGGAGAACAAAAGGAGTCTGGGGCTAGGAAGAAAAAAAAAAATGACAAGCGAAGCATTAAACTACAAACAGCTCTTTGAAGCCTCCCTGATAGAGGTGGTTGTGTTTGTGCAACAGTTATTGGGTTGAGTCTAATAATGAAAGGACAGATCACCACTTACTCTGTGATGTCAGTAATGAAAGCTATCAAAACTAAGCCTGAGTGGGCCTGACTGTCACCCTGTAAATCTAACGTGGACAGCTTAATGAGGGAGGGACATTATCTTTTCTCACACTCCAATTTTACTCACATAAGAAATGTGGCCCACATTGGCAATTAACTTGAGAGATTAATTAAATCCAATAACAAGTTCAGTTCCCTCCATAGTGCATTCTGATATCATGTGAAGGCACCAACATGCTATGGGCACTTAGCACATGTTAAAAAATAATGGAACTAATTTGGGCTTTTTGTGTGTGTGTGTGTGCGGAAAACTGGCAGCTAACCGCCTCAGTAAATTAATTCCACAAACTGATACAGCTACTCGATAGTTCACACAGTCTTATTTCCAAACTCTGCTTTATTATCCTGAAACTCCCAAGAAACATTGCCCAATAATTGTGTTTCTTCCCTCAGCAATTTTACTCACCAGTAGTATTTAACATATTTTATTGGGCCCTCTGAAGAATAAGGAGGCAGCCATTCAGACAAAACATAAACTCTGCCCCAGCTTAAGAAGCAATAGACTGGGTCCCATTGTGTCTCTTTCAAAACAACGGCTGACACTGACAAGGAACAGGAAGAGCAGCAGGGGTGCAGGCATGAGCTTCACTTAGCGTCAGAAGGCCACGTGATATATGTTCTGGTTCTCTTTCTTTTGGGTTCCCTAATTCGTCCTTAGTTCCTGTTTTTGTGTTTTCTTCTCTGAAACGGTAAAGTGCTTTCCTCCACTACCATATATGAAATTTGATCTTAAGAAATAGGAGTCTTCAAATTTGACCAATTGGCCAAATGGTTATTAAACTGATGCCTTAGTGAAAGTCAATGAAATTGTTTTTTAACTGGTTGCTGTAAAATCATATTCCTATAATACAGATCAAATTCATATACTAGAGTTATTATATAGATACTACATAATAATAATGCCTACTCCTGCCCCACTGCTCCCAAATCAACCTACTCAAAGAAGTGCTTCCTAACAATCTCACTACCAAGGACTCCTTTTATTATGATTTGAGAATGGAGTACATGTTTGAAAATATTTCATCTATCCAAGATTAACGATTAATTCATTTCCTTTTTGGTATTATTAAGAAAAATACATATCCTGTCTGATGGAACTTCTAATAAATAAATAATGAAATTACAACATGAAGGTAACCTAATCTTTGACAAAAATGGGAAATATAATATTTGGGTAGCCTTTCATAGTTACTGTGGTTACAAATACCCTTTAGGAAATAACGAAAAGAGCTTGAAGGTTTCTTTTCTATTTTGGAGAGAATTCTATGACAAGGTGATATTTTAGACCTACCCTAATAGTCACTAGTGCAGAAGATTTACATTAACAATCTTTCATACAGCCAGAAGTTTCATCTACCTAAGTGGCACCTTGAAACTAGAAAGAGATGGTAAATAACAACAAGCCTCAATGTTCTAAGAATAATCACATCACCTGAAGCATGGTATCTCTGCGCATATCTTCAATTATTACCAAAAATGTCTATGCTATAAATATACTTGATGACAAAGCATTCCTACACTTGATTACCAAAAAAAAAAAAAGTAAATGGTAAACAACTGATTGAATTTATTGGATCTGGGGTGATCTTATATTTGTATCAAACTGTAAATACATTTAACTCAACTGATCCAATATTAGCCCATTAGTCCATATTTTCCACTTAGGGTATTATTGCAGACCTACTGATAATCATAATGGCTAACAATATTAAGCTCTTACAAAATGCTTTACATGCATTCATTCATTTATGTGACTCAACAATCCCATGTAATAAGTACTATTACCATTGTCATTTTACAGATGACAAAACTAATGTTTAGAAAGGTTAAGTAACATGCACAGCCACACAGCATCTGGGTTTATCTGCTGCTTGGTAAATCTGGACTAAACAACCAACAGGGATCAGGCTTGATATTCTGTTCCACCTGATGGCCAAGGAAGATACTGTGCAAATGCCTGCACATTTGTCCTTAGACTACAAGCTTTCTTTCAGTCCTGTCAGCATTGACACTGCCAATATTTTAAGAAATGTATTTAAAGTCCCTTCTGATATTTCTTATATCACCAGCTAAACTGCACACAAAATAAGTTAATTGGTTCTAAGGTTTACCTAAATATTTCTCATTGTAGCAGAATTGTGGAAGGAGAAGTAGATAATATCAAGAGTTGACTGTTCCATGTTTTATAGAAAGTAAGAGTCAGAAAAAATATAACCTAAATAATTCCATTGAACTCTCAGTATATGTAGGAGTAATGGCATAATGATATATTGTTGTTATAATTATAGGTAAAAGATAAATTCTTGGAAAATAATTTTAATTCACATTCTCTAACATGAGAAATTTCTCTTCACTTAAGGTAAACTTCGAATGTTTCCTTTCTTTCCACAAGGTGGAAATCTTGAAGTAATGGGCTACTGAAAAACCAGAGAAATTATATGCACTGACTTACTTATTCATTCTTAATTTTAGATTATAAAAGTTTTCTTGTGTAGCTTAGAGAATTTTCCAAATCCTTTATAACTGTGGTTGTGGAATTCCACAATGTTGAACCTGAATAGATTCCTATTTATGACAAGTTACAAATTTCATTGTAGAAACGTAGGTGCAAAAGACATAGATTCCAAAGATTTACCACTTTCAGTATCAAATAATTTACCTTTCATTTTTAGCTTGCTCTCACATAAAAATTGATCCAAAATGCTGTTTTAGGAAGAAACCAGCCCTCATAAATTCTTGATGAATCCAGATCACCAATATGAATATCAGTTATTGAAATCCTCAGAACATATATGAAGGGGATTAACACTAATCATCAACACACTAAATGGCCCTAACTTAGGCTGTTACGTACCTTCATTCTTCTGCTTTATACAGTCTATAACTGTATAAAGTCTTCCAACTGGAGTTCATGGAATCAGATATTCTTAAAAGAATACATTTCAAGATCCTCAACTTTTTTCCTAAAATTGATATGTCTGAAAATGTATCTGCAGTAAGGGTATCATGGGGATGACAATTTCTGTTTAAAGATCTCGCCTTTTCATCTGCAAACAATTGTCAAAGAATACATTGCTCCTGAGAAAAAAGTCCCATGAGAGCAAAGCAAAATGGGAATCTGTAAAAAATACAATGGCGATGGTGTCTTATTTCTCTCAGGAGCAGACTCACTGCAAACCTCCTCACCATATCAGCCAATCTATTTCAGACTGAGAACTCAGAAGTGAAATGACAGGCATGGGAAGGACCACAAGGAAGTTTAATTGAATGTGAAAACCCAAGTTGAAAGAAAGTAGGCCTGACCTAGCTGATTGATTCAGCAAATAAGTTTTTCAAAATAAACTATAAAGTGGACATTTTTCATAAAGCTAATGAGTTAAATCTGCAGTTCCAAGGCTTGGAGGAAATACACTACTCAAAGAATGTACTAAGCAAGAGAATCTTGTCCAAAAATTAAAAATCATATTTGCAGAGGTATACTGAAATTTGGAATATTTCAGTTTTCCCACCTCTGAGTCTATCAGATTCAATATGGCACCTCTAAGAGAAAGAGGAATAGGTATAATTAATGGGCATTTGAGAAGCTTTGGTAAGCCTTTGGTGTACTTCCCAGGAAAAAGAGAAATTGAATATCTTGAGTGACTGAGCAACAAATTCTTTTTCAAGACAGTTTTTCTCTCAATAAAATTGAAGTAGAACTAATTGAGTTGTCAGAGGATGAATCATAAAAAAAAATTTGATGAGAAATTACTATATGATTTTTGGCATAAAACTGGCAAGAAGTTTTAAAAAATTCAATGACATAAAAATACCTCCAATCTCATCTGCTTATGTATGTGAGAAAGATTTCTCAATGCTTATATCTAGAAAACTGAAAAATTGGGATTGTGCTAAATCCTGTTTTGTTTTGAAACAAATAATATTTGACTTGATATAGGAATGAATTAAAAAATCAAAAAAAGCCCTGACAATCTCATTATTAGGTGAGGTTTCAATAATTTTAACTTTTATATTTAATAATTGTTAATATATAAAAAATATAAGAAATACATATTTTTTGTTTTGATCAATCTTGTGCTAATAATAGTGATAAAAGCTCAATCCAGATGTAATTTTTGAAATGTAGAGGATTATAAATTCAAAATTTTTTTAAAAAATTTAATGTTCTGAGACTATATGATGATGCATAAAATATTTCAAGCATATTACATTGATAAAATTCTGTGAGACAAATGAATGAAATATGACTTATAGAGAAAGGAATGGTGCACAATTTTCAATGAATAAAGAATTTGTTTTTATATTGTTAAATTGACAATAGTGAGACTCAACTCATTATAGTATTTAGATTCCAAACGGATATACTTAAAAAATATTTAACAATTTTTAAATGTCAATAATAAGCCAGAAATTATATTCTTTGCAACTCTTTAAACTTATAACAAATTGGAAGCCTATAGTTTTTCCAGAAGTCTTTCAAGGTTCAGGGAGCAAAAAAAGAAAGAAGAAAAAAAGGAGCTTTCTGCTTTGTTTCTCCTGCCTTGTTATTATTTCTGGAATTAGAAGATATGCTTTCCTGGCCCCACTTTCAGATTTGCTCTTTGATCCACTCTCCCCTTAGAAATTGGATTTCTGAATAGCTAAGGTCTCCAGATCACTGAATTGTGGATATGATAAACTTTCCAAACAAATATGATTCTAATTATTTGCTTTACCCTAAGACTCATTACAGCGTTCTTTCAAATAACAATCTTCTCCAGTGCTTTTGAAATATGGTTCTATAATTATAAAAATTCACCTTGCATTCTATTTACAGGCTTTTCATTTTATTTAGGTCCAAAATACAAATGCATTGCTTTGATTCTGTAGCAGATTTTTGAGAGTAATCCCTTTTTAAGTGTCTTTACAAATATGTTATCTAGTCCAACAAGGCAAAAAAGGAAAATAGAAAAGAAGGGAGAGAGAAAAAAGAGGAGGTGATGAAATGCCATCATGATATCAGAGAAGGAGGTGGATAATTTAAAGCAGCAAGGCCCTTTCAAATAGAAGATGGCTAAATTTTATCACTAATTCACAATAGGATTAGAACATGAATTAAATTTCATTTGAAAACAAAGATACCTATTGCTTTATATAGTCCCTGCCTCAACAGCAATACCAGCCTGATTTCTTTCACAGTTTTCTTTCTGAGACAAGAAATACCCTAATAAAACAAAGGGAAAAATATATTTCCCAGTGTCTAATGATCTTTATAAGTCCTTTGACCTTTCCATGGACCTCAGTTTTCTTATCTGTAAAATAAGAAAGTTGATTTAAACCAGTTATTTGAGGAGGGGCAAGAGACGGGGCAAGGAGGGCAGATGAGAAGAATCACAGGAAGGGATGAATTTTTCGACAGAATACCCACACTCTGCATGACTTTCCAGATTCCTACTCAAGCTGCACCACTATCCCTATGGATGCTGAGAACTCCAGCTGTGGGAATTTGTGTTCTCTCCTTGGAAGAGGACAAATGGCCGGAAACACCATGCATAACTTTAAAGATCCCTTCCAGCAATGAGATACCATGATTCTTCGGCTATGACTAGAAAACATATTGTTACTCATGTATTTCTTCTCTCCTTTCCTTTGTCTCTGGCAAGCATCACTATTTGCTCCTTGCTGCCTAGAACAGTATGAGGTATATATGCCTGGGGTGTGAAAGGAGAGATGGAGGGAGGGACATATTTACAGCAGCTATGATGCTCAAGAGCTATATTAATCTGTAGCTCTGTATTTTCATGACTTCACAACTCCCTAAGCTTAAAAATATATATACGTACATCCGGCTGGGCGCAGTGGCTCATGCCTGCAATCCCAGCACTTTGGGAGGCCGAGACGGGCAGATCATGAGGTCAGGAGATTGAGACCATCCTGGCTAACATGGAGAAACCCCGTCTCTACTAAAAATACAAAAAAATTAGCCAGGCGTGGTGGTGGGCACCTGTAGTCCCAGCTACTTGGGAGGCTGAGGCATGAGAATGGCGTGAACCCAGGAGGCGGAGCTTGCAGTGAGCCAAGATCGCACCACTGCACTCCAGCCTGGGTGACAGAGCGAGACTCTGCCTCAAAAAAAAAAAAAAAAAAAAAAAAAAAAATATATATATATATATATGTATACACATCCTTATATATGTATATATATGTATATATATGCATGTATATATGTGTATATCTATACATACATCCATATACATATATATATGTGTACACACACATCCATATATATGACATTTTAAAAGATCCTCTTTTCTCTCATCTTGAAGTGTGTTAAAAGGTATGCGTAAAAAGGAGCTACAAAACAATGAGGTTACTAGATAAGGTACTTTTCCTGAATCAAAGAAGCTCCTAGACAAAATGGGGCCTGACTTGGTGGTCAGCTGTCAGAGTGAAACTTAATTTAACAGTAACAATAGACAAAGTATGTCAGACTAAGTGCTTCATCGACAATCTGAACAATTTTCAATAAAATGGCCTTGATGTCAGTTAGGGCAGACAACCCCAGGTAGAGAAAGACTACTCGGGAAAAAAAATTAAGAAAACCTTCTGCAGATTCGAAGGGGGATTTTTTTTTATCCCTCTGACCAGCCTCTCTGTATGTAACTTTCAGTGGTTCTTGCCTTCAAGAGGTTTTCCCACCACAGTGAGGGGCTGAGGGAGATGTTTGTGTCCCTGGATCTAGTGACTTGTTTTCATGGCTCTGAAGCCCACAGTCACTCCCATTTAGAAAATATTCTATATCCTTTTGGATTACGCTTGATCTCTTTTTATCTAATTAATTACATCTCAGGAACCAAGAAGTAATTACATTAAGAACTTGGAGGCATGCCTTCAGGAATGTCACTATGGCTTTCTGTTTGTTTGTTTTAAAGCAAATCAGCACTCTGGAACTTGGTTCAGATTAGCAATTTTATGCATTCAGCTGGATACAATGCAACTCCTGGTTATTAGAATAAGAAATAAGGTGAAGAACATGAAGGAATGTGGTTCAATCTCTCTCTCTCTTTCCCTTCCTTTCTATTCCACTTTAGTATAGCAATTACAGGCCTCTGAGTTTGGGTTTAGCATCGTGATGGTAGGCAGGTATTTACTTTTTTACTTGAGGGTCAAGTGGGATGAAAAGCAAGGAAAAAAAGCCAGGACAGTCCAAGGACTGGCACATGTCAAAGCACAGAGGAACAATACAGATCTTCAGAGGAACTTTTTTTCTTTTACTTCCTTTTTAAAAAACTTTGTCAGTGTAGTAAGTGGTGAAGACTATTTGCTAAAGTGTTCAACAACATAACTGCTCTGAGATTTCTCCTTCACTAGGCTACTCTCTTAGGCCTCTGTGAACATCTGTGCCATGTGTACAGGCCACTTCCTAACAGGCCCAAAGAGGATGTGTTTTCATAAAAGTTGTAAACACATTTAAGAAATTATCTGAAGCTCATAAGCCACCTGATTTCCTAGGCAAGGCCTCTCATCACATTAACCATATTTTACGTAATGAGCAGATGGGCAGAATAAAACCAGAGGGAGGAGAAGTGGAGGAAAAGGACAGTAATGAGTGATGAAATGGAAATCACGTGATTAATGGAACATAGATTTTAAAAAGTAATGAAGAGTTTATCCCTAGGGTAGAAAACAGGGAACAACAAAAATAAGTACCACGTTGTCAAAACAGTAAAATAAGAGAGTAGAACAAAGAAACAGAGCAAGACAAAGAAATGCTGGTTTTAGGATAGGCCTTATTTTAAAGACACAGGGGATTTTGGAACTTACCATTTTGCAGCTATTTGTTTAAACAAAAATAAATTTATGTTGCCTGGTGTCCTAAAAGTTACTTATGACAACGGTCATTAATAGATAAGAGCCTGCAGCTATCCGGGTACACCAACACCAGCCTTTGTGTTTGTTCAACATTTCTTTCTGTGGGAAATGTAATTTGTAGCATAAGAGTTCACAAGAACCCTCAGCTCCATGGCTCCATCACTAATGAAACAAGTCCTGGATTTTCATAGCAACCATCAAGCATAAATTTGGCTCCCCAGAGCATGTGAACTTTATGTGTGAATTACTTATGTGTGTGCACAAACTAAAGGCAAATTCATGTGAAGCATACAGGCAATTTACAAACTCTATCTGTTCTGAAAGTCTGCACAGTAACAGGAACACAGACAGAAATAACAAAATGGGTGTATATGTCCAGGTTTCTCCACAAAAGATGACCTGTATACTTGCAAGGGCAAAATATCACAAAAACAACCCTAATGCAAGAGTAGTAATGAGAGCAACTAAAAATAAAATACAGAGGCTGGGCCTGGTGGCTCACACCTGTAATCCCAGCACTTTGGGAGGCCGAGGTGAGCAGATCGCCTGAGGTCAGGAGTTCAAGACCAGCCTGGCCAAAATGGTGAAACACCGTCTCTAACAAAAACACACAAAAAATTAGCAAGGTATGCTGGCAGGTGCCTGTAATCCCAGCTACTTGGGAAGCTAAAGCAGGAGAATCACTTGAACCTAAGAAGTGGAGGTGCAGCAAGCTGAGATTGCGCCACTGCACTCCAGCCTGGGCGACAAGAGTGGAACTTCGTCTCAAAATAAACAAATAATAGAAATAAAATAGAAGATAATGACTGTGTGTGTGCACTTTCATTATTTTGAATGTTAGTGCTCAAAGGAAAGCAAATTTAGTTAGAAAACAAGCTGATAGAAAAACAGTTTCAGAGATTCTTAAGAGAACTTCAGGACACATTTAAGAACCATGAAGGCTGGTAACACAAGTTTTGAAAAAATTAGGCCTTGTTTCAGGACAATTTTGTTTTTCCCATTTCTAGGAATCCGATGTATCATTCACACAATTTGTATTCCCATTAGCCTTGATTAGGGACATATCTGTGCTCACATTAGACTCCCTGAATACAGGGACCAAAATTCATTCAATGTTGCCACTTGGGTGTCTAATATGCTGCAAAAATCTCTAGGAAAGATATAAATGAACAAATAAATGATATGCTGAGATAACATTGTGAAGAATTTGGCAATGAGGAGGGGCATTATCTTCTTCCATAAAGACATTGATTTATTCTTTAATATCACTCAGAATCACAAGAAATAATCAGCTGATACAGAAATGGAACAGCTGTCTCACACAGAAGTGGCTAAAGAGAAAAAATTTCCACAAAATACTGGAAAAGATGGTAACAAATCAAATTTCAAAGTTGGGCAGCCCTACCAAAAAGAGAAAAAGAAGATACGAGAGGAGTCAATAGTGACAGCACTACTGAAATTCAAAAATAGGACTTGAGGTCTAAGACAAACTGATAAAAATTAAAATAATGGCAATTACTCATTGAACATTTACTATGTGCCAGGTACTATATATGCATGATCTAATTTAATCTTTATAATAATCCATTTAGGTAAGTACTTCTATCATCCTTATTATACAGATAGTCAAACACGATGATAAAAAGTAAGTAACTTTCTCAAAGTCACCCACCTAGTAAGTGATGGAACCAGTACTTTAAAACATGTCTGTCTGACTCCTTAATCAATGCAACACTAAGATACATGTGACTAATCAAGGAAAAAGAAAGAGTTTTGATTTTTGTTTCTTTTTCCAATTTAGAAAAGATGAAGGAGAATTCTAGAACCTTCACTTCTGAGCAAATAGCAAACCAACTTGCTGTTGGGAATTTAAGTGTCATGCACATTACCATTTACATTAGTTTGAAAAAGAAGTAAATGTCCAACTTTTAGTTTCTCTAAACAGTTATTCTAGTTTTCCTAAGTTTGACCCCAAAAGGGATTTGACTGTGAAACAAAACTCTCTGTAGTTCTCAGATATGGTTAGACAGTCAGATGCCCACAAGTAACAGCCTGTGCAGAACATCAACACAGTATATCACCCCAGCAAGGAAAGTTCAAAGGAAAGATTTCTAAGGCTACTGAGATAAAATGGAATAGAATCTTTCCAGTATATTTCTCTTTGCTATCAAACCAAATTAGAAAAGACTAATTTATACTAAATTATAAATCACAGCATTTCTAATTTAATCACTGTCTGTTTTTTTAATTTTTGTTCTTGTTTTAGTTTTGCATTTCTTTCACCCATGGGATAGATACACATTCTCACTTAAGCCCCTGTTGAAACTATTTCCATTGTCCCCTAGATCCTCATTCTACTTTAATGTGTCTATCTTCAGTAAAACACAACTGATAAACCTGAAAGATAATAAACTGGACAGACTAGCACTGAGATTCTAAATGAGATAAACCGGCAGTCATCCTGACAGTAATGGAATAAATAAAGCATGAATAATTACATTAAAAGACAATTTCTGATTTAAACTTTGCTTTTCCTGTTTTTACACAGTAGAAAAAATTAGGCTGTCTGGCCTTCCTTAGGAGAAATCTTTCTTAGAAGGAATGTGTGCTTATTTTTAAATCTATCATAACAACTGATATATCAGCAACAATGTACCCATATTTACCTCATATTTATATGTATGTCTTCTCTATTATAAGCAATATGTTATGAAATATATTAGAGATTAGTTCAAAGAGTTGAGATTGGTTATAAAGAATTATATTAGTCGGGTTTAAAACGTATTTGGAAAGTTCCCAGTATAAAATAGTTTAGTTGTGTTATTTTCCTCTTGATGTCTTGAATGTTGCAAGGTACTATTCTATGGCTGGTAGGGGCATGCAACAGGTGGGAGTAAGGAAGGAAACAGCAAGCCAATAATAAGTTTTGAAAATAAGCCCAATCATTAAGTATATGTTGAGTCTCTTCATTACCGTGAATAGGAAGTCTAATAGATTGCCATATGCAGAAACAGAGAAAATGCTGTTTTAGTGGCACCTAATGAGGTTCCAAAAATGCAGTAACTTGTAGATTCTTTCACATTCATACTCTGTGTAATATAACGCTATATAGCACACTTAGCTCTCTTTATACCTTGATATTTTAATGCAAACACAGATTCTTTTCTCTATGGCTTTAAACATTACACAGGAACAAGCTCCCATGAACCTCTTTCACATTCCTACTCAGAGCTCTCTGTGAAAAGCTGTCATTTCTTGTTCTATTCAAGTCAGACTACCTAGTCTCCAGGCACAATGGTAAAAGGAATGTCAAGGTAACATCTTCATTTATTCATATGATTTTCTCTTTTTTTTTAATTATACTTTAAGTTCTGGGATACATGTGTAGAACGTGCGGGTTTGTTACATAGGTATACACATGCCATAGTGGTTTGCTGCACCCACCAACCTGTCATCTACATTAGGTATTTCTCCTAATGCTATCCCTCCCCTAGCCCCACAAACCCTGACAGGCCCTTTGGGTATAACCTAGTAATGGGACGGCTGGGTCAAGTGGTATTTCTTGTTCTAGATCTTTGAGGAATTGCCACACAGTCTTCCACAATGGTTGAACTATTTTACACTCCCACCAACAGTGTAAGAGCTTTCCTACTTCTCCACATCCTCTCCAGCACCTGTTGTTTCATGACTTTTTAATGATCGCCATTCTAACTGGTGTGAGATGGTATCTCATTGTAGTTCTGATTTGCATTTCTCTAATGACCAGTGATGATGAGTTTTTCTTCATATTTTTGTTGGCCACATAAATGTCTTCTTTTGAGAAGTGTTTGTTCATATCCTTCACCCACTTTTTATGGGGTTGTTTGTTTTTTTCTTGTAAATTTTTTTAAGGTCTTTGTAGATTCTGGATCTTAGCACTTTGTCTGATGGATAGATTGCAAAGATTTTCTCCCATTCTGTAGGTTGCCTGTTCACTTTGATTTCTTTTCAAGGAAGCACTAAATATGAAAAGGAAAAACTGGTATACCATCCACTGCAAAAACATAACAAATTATAAAGACCATCAACACTATGAAAAAACTGCATCACCTAATGGGAAAAATAAGTAGCTAGCATCATAATGACAGGATCAAATTCACACATAACAATATTAACCTTAAATGTAAACAGGCTAAATGCCCCAATTGAAAGATGCAGACTGGCAAATTGGATAAACAGTCATGACCCGTGGGTGTGCTGTATCGGTGCGCTATATTCAGGAGACCCATCTTATGTGCAAAGACACACAAAGGCTCAAAATAAAGGGATGGTAGAATATTTACCAAGTAAATGTAAAGCAAAAAAAGCAGGAGTTGCAATACTAGTCTCTGATAAAACAGACTTTTAACCAACAAAGATCAAAAAAGACAAAGTAGGGCATTACATAATGGTAAAGGGATCAATGCAACAAGAAGAGCTAACTATCCTAAATATATATGCACCCAATACAGGAGAATCCAGATTCATATAGCAAGTTCTTAGAGACCTACAAAGAGACTTAGACTACCACAGAATAATACTGGGAGACTTTAACACCCCACTGTCAATATTAGATCAACGAGAGAGAAAACTAACAAGAATATTCAGGACTTGAACTCAGCTCTGGACCAAGCAGACCTAACAGACATCTACAGAACTCTCCACCCCAAATCAACAGAATATACATTCTTCTCAGCACCACATCGCACTTATTCTAAAATTGACCACATAAGTGGAAGTAAAACACTCCTCAGCAAATGAAAAAGAACAGAAATCAGGCCGGGCGCGGTGGCTCACGCCTGTAATCCCAGCACTTTGGGAGGCCGAGGCGGGCGGATCACGAGGTCAGGAGATCGAGACCATCCCAGCTAAAACGGTGAAACCCCGTCTCTACTAAAAATACAAAAAATTAGCCGGGCGTAGCGGCGGGCGCCTGTAGTCCCAGCTACTTGGGAGGCTGAGGCAGGAGAATGGCGTGAACCCGGGAGGCGGAGCTTGCAGTGAGCCGAGATCCCGCCACTGCACTCCAGCCTGGGCGACAGAGCGAGACTCCGTCTCAAAAAAAAAAAAAAAAAAAAAAAGAACAGAAATCATAACAAACTGTCTCTCAGACCAAAGTGCAATCAAATTAGAACTCAGGATTAAGAAACTCCCTAAAAACCGCACAACTACATGGAAACTGAACAATGGGCTCCTGAATGACTGCTGGTTAAATAATGAAATTAAGGCAGAAATAAGTAAGTTTTTTGAAACCAATAAGAACAAAGACACAATGTACCAGAATCTCTGGGACACAGCTAAAGCAGTATTTAGAGGGAAATGTATAGCACTAAATGCTCACAAGAGAAAGCAGGAAAGATCTAAAATCGACACCCTAACCTCACAATTAAGAGAACTAGAAAAGCAAGAGCAAACAAATTCAAAAGCTAGCAGAAGACAAGAAATAACTAAGATCAGGGCAAATTTGAAGGAGATAGAGACACGAAAAACCCTTAAAAAAATCAACGAATCCAGTAGCTGGGTTTTTGAAAAGATTAACAAAATAGATAGACTGCTAGCCAGACTAATAAAGAAGAAAAGAGAGAAGAATCAAATAGACACAACAAAAAATGATAAAGGGGATATCACAACTGATCCCACAGAAATAAAAGCACCATCAGAGAATACATAAACACCTCTACACAAATAAACTAGAAAATATAGAAGAAATGGATAAATTCCTGGACACATACACCCTCCCAAGACTAAACCAGGAAGAAGTCGAATCCCTGAAGAGACCAATAACAAGTTCTGTAATTGAGGCAGTAATTAATAGCCTACCAACCAAACAAAGCCCAGGACCAGATGGATCCACAGCTGAATTCTACCAGAGGTAAAAGAGGAGCTGGTACCATTCCTTCTGAAACTATTCCAAACAATAAATAGAAAAAGAGGGACTCCTCCCTGACTCATTTTATGAGGCCAGCATCATCCTGATACCAAAACCTGACAGAGAAACAAAAAAAGAAAATTTCAGGCCAATATCCCTGATGAACATCAATGAGAAAATCTTCAATAAAATACTGGCAAACTGAATACAGCAGCACATCAAAAAGCTTATCCACCACGATCAAGTTGGCTTAATCCCTGGGATGCAAGGATGGTTCAATATACACAAATCAATAAACATAATCCCTCACATAAACAGAACCAATGACAAAAACCACATGATTAACTCAATAGATGCAGAAAAGGCCTTCAATAAAATTCAACACTCCTTCATGCTAAAAACGCTCAATAAACTAGGTATTGATGGAACAGATCTCAAAATAATAAGAGCTATTTATGACAAACCTACAGCCAATATCCCACCAAATGAGCAAAAGCTGGAAGCATTCCCTTTGAAAACCAGCACAAGACAAGGATGCCCTCTCACCACTGCTATTCAACATAGTGTTGGAAGTTCTGGCCAGGGCGATCAGGCAAGAGAAAGAAATAAAGCATATTCAAATAGGAAGAGAGGAAGTCAAATTGTCTCTGTTTGCAGATGAAATGAGTGCATATCTAGAAAACCCCATCGTCTCAGCCCAAAATCTCCTTAAGCTGATAAGCAACTTCAGCAAAGTCTCAGGATACAAAATCAATGTGCAAAAATCACAAGCATTCCTACACACCAATAATAGACAAACAGAGAGCCAAATTATGAGTGAACTCCCATTCACAATTGCTACAAACAGAATAAAATACCCAGGAATACAACTTACAAGGGATGTGAAGGACCTCTTCAAGGAGAACTACAAACCACTGCTCAAGGAAATAAGAGAGGACACAAAAAAATGGAAAAGCATTCCATGCTCATGGATAGGAAAAATCAATATTGTGAAAATGGCCATACTGCCCAAAGTAATTTATAGATTCAATGCCATCCCCATCAAGCTACCATTGACTTTATTCAGAATTAGAAAAAACTACTTCAAACTTCAAATGAAACCAAAAAAGAGCTCATATAGTCAAGATAATCCTAAGCAAAAAGAAGGCATCACACTACCTGAGGCATCCCGCTACCTGATCTCAAACGATACTACAAGATTACAGTAACCAAAACAGCATGATACTGGTACCAAAACAGATATATAGACCAATGAAACAGAACAGAGGCCTGAGAAATAACACCAGACATCTACAACCATCTGATCTTTGACAAACCTGACAAAAGCAAGCAATGGGGAAAGGAGTCCCTATTTAATAAATGGTGTTGGGAAAACTGGCTAGCCAAATGCAGAAAACTGAAACTGGATCCCTTCCTTACTCCTTATACAAAAATTAACTCAAGATAGATTAAAGACTTAAACATAAGACCTAAAACCATAAAAACCCTAGAAGAAAACCTAGGCAATACCATTCAGGACATAGGCATGGGCAAAGACTTCATGACTAAAACACCAAAAGCAATGGCAACAAAAGCCAAAATTGACAAATGGGATCTAATTAAATTATTCATACTATTTTCATGTTGGACAGTATTATAAAAGCCAATCAAATTGGAGAAATAACATAGTATATTTTACAAAATGTAAATTTGTGATGCAAGCAGAAGAGCTTCTGCTACTCATGAGAGTTATATTCTTGTTACCCAAGAATATAACTTCGCATCTTTTCAAAACAACCTACACAGAGTAACTCTTAAAAATCTGCTAGTGAGGGGGAAAAGGAGGGAGAAAGCAAAGCTTCAAAGGACTTTCTAAAGAAATTATAATACTAAGACTTTTATATGACATTCAACCCTGTTTTCCCCCCTTCTCCCCCAACAAAATAACCTAGCCAAACAATAGAGAGGCAACGTTTAAATACAAACTTTCTTCCACTCAACACTAGAAAACTGGTAAGATTAGGTCTTCAAAGAGGCTGAGCTAAGAATTCTCCTAAGCTTTAAATTTCCTGCAAAGGCTGAGTTTTATTTCTTAAGGGAAGAGCTTCTGTTTGGCTTTTCTTTTTCTTTTTAAGAAAAAAATTCTATATAATTATAGGTTTATTGTTACATTTGTATGTATGAGCAAAGTACAGGCAAAGAAAGAAAAACATTGTCAAGAAGCTGGTTATGACTAAATATATAAAGATGGAATAGTCTAACAATGCCAGTTGAATAAATACTGTAACAAAACTGTAATTTAAATGAAGCTACCAAAATATTTCAAAAGACAACGCATTTTATGATTTTAAAGTTTATCTTCAAAATGAAATATGATCATAGCTATTAACAATATGCTGTAAAATAAAATATGCTAAACATTGCTTCTGTTAGTAACCACTAGTTTCTCAGGAAACATTCTTTATAGAGCAACTCTGATTAATGTACAAGTGACAGCTTTTTTTTTTCTGAGCACTAACCTTACAGTATACCATTGTTTTCAAGACAGTGTTTATAAAAGCTGTAAAGATACGTTTTAGACATTACCTTGTCTATATCTATGAACTGTCAGCAAAAAATATCCCTTTTTCACCTTCTCTCCACTCTCCATTTCCAGTTAGACATTGTGTTTTCATCCCTATATAGCTTGCCTACCTTAAACAGAAAAATGACCAACATATTCTTATGTGCAAAATCTGAAAACATTTCTTTCAGAATAATATGACCTGTTAGACATCCGAAGATCAAGACAGGGATAAAGATTTATTAGGCCAAACCACACAGGACTTATATGTTATGGGCTGTAGGACAGAGCGTATTAAATTATTTCCCTGATCACACAACTGAATGTAAAAGGCTAAACGTTTCACTGATTGTGGTCAAATATGATTGTTGCTGCAGTAGAGTAAAGGCCCCAAAAGTACCCTTAGTTAGGTCAGTGACCAAATGTCACTCTATATGATTTTGTTCTTCACGGGCAATGTCTCCAAAGTGCTAAATGTGTGAAACTCCAGCTTGAACCAAGGAATGAATTTTAGTTTGCTCTTACCCTTTGAATGGATAAGCACATTGAACATGAAAATCTTCTCTCTTCCTTATCAACAAGGCACTAACAGAATTCAGATTTACAGATCAGACACAGAAATATGGAAAATATTCTTAATGTTAGATCAAATACGGAATTATCCAATAAATAAATATTGAGTTTACAAACCATCTAAACTTTGACTCTCCTACTTCCCATCTACCAAGGAAGGGAGAAAAGTAAGAAATGGAAGTTAAGCTCAAATTACTCAGGTACTGTTTGTTAATATATCTGGTGACTATCTTATGTGAGGGAAAAACTGGAATAATAGGAAAAGGTTTGGTGATTCTACGTAGCTTTTGTGACTGTAGTTCTAGCTCCTAAGTTTTACTTTCCAAATAGCTAAGGGCTGCTGTTCTCAAAAGAGCTACCCTTTCTAAATTCAGGAAATAACAATGGAAAGAAATAATTGTTAAATAAAAGTATATGTTGATGTTTACCCTATTATATATTATTTTCATTTTATATGTTATATGCACAAAAATTTATTGGTACATATTTCTAAATGTTAAAATCTTGGTTCTCTGGGTGATAGGATCATACATCATTTTTATCTTTACATCTATACTTTTGTGCATTTTCTGCTGTTCTGCAACAAGCATGAAATGATTTTATGCTCAGGGAGAAGAAAAAAGCCATCTCCCACCACTACGCCCACTTCAAGAAGAAGAATGAAGAGTAAAAGAGGAGAAATATGGTAAAGGAGTCAGCTTTGTACTCTCTGTCTGCTGTTTTTTGCTTCCTCTCATTTCTGCTTTCCTTAGCAGAAGCCAAGAGTGTTTGGGGGGCCTAGGTCTGAGGCCAGCTCCACCTCTGACCAGTGTACCTCCAATTCTCTCCGAGCCTTGGTTTCCTCTTCTATAGAACGACAATAATAATGGTACTCACAAGAAGTCAAGAAGAAACAGGATAATGCATGTAAAGCTGTTACCATGGCGCCTGGCTCAAAGAGAATACCCACCAACATTGCTGCACTTTTTTTCGCCAGCCTTACCTGATCATAGAAATCTTAAGATTTATAAAATACTTTAAAGCAAACTTGTCCAACCTGCAGCCCACAGGCTGCACACAGCTCAGGACAGCTTAGAATGCAGCCCAACACAAAATCCTAAACTCTCTTAAAACATTATGAGACCTTTTTTTTGCAATTTTTTTTTAAGCTCATCAGTTGCCGTTAGTGTATTTTATGTGTGGCCCAAGACAATTCTTCCAATGTGGCCCAGGGAAGCCAAAAGATTGGACGCCGCTGCTAAAGCTTACAATGAGCTTTAACAAACAGTAATTTAATTTTTAAACTGATAGTAAAAAGCAGAGCTAGAATTCAAACCTCACCTTCCCACATCCTAGCTCTGATAACCAAACACCACTTTTGAGTTGGATTGAAACAGTTGCCTACTGGAGCTGCCTCCCTGAGGCTTACCTGCAATTGGTAAATTTCAGTAACTTTGCATACCAGCTGTTAAACACAGACATTATTTTAAATTATTATAGAATTATACAAATTAAAATATAAAAGTTACAATTAAATAAAAATATTTTAAATAAATAAATATATGAAGCTCGTCATGTCCTTATACTTTTTTCTTTTTTTTGAGATGGAGTCTGGCTCTGTTGCCCAGGCTACAGTGCAGTGGCGCAATCTTGGCTCACGGCAACCTCTGCCTCCTGTGTTCAAGTGATTCTCCTACCTCAGCCTTCCAAGTAGCTGGGATTACAGGCGCCTGCCACCATACCTGGCAAATTTTTGTAGTTTTAGTAGAGACAGGGTTTTGCCATGTTGGCCAGGCTGGTCTCGAACTCCTGACCTCAGGTGATCCACCCACCTCAGCCTCCCAAAGTGCTGGGATTACAGGCTTGTGCCAGCGCACCCGGCCCTTATACTTTTATTATCTATACTCTTTAAGCTTATTTGCACCTATTGTATTTGTAGAGTGGAAACACTACATAATAGAGTGCTACATGTATCTCTTCCTAATTCACTTGCAGTAAATTCACATTGGTAGCTTGAAATCAGCCAAACTGGCAAATGCCACAAATCAAGACTCAATATCATTTCGTTGACTTGAGAGTGATGGAGAATATGCAGATTAACTTAAAGTGTGCCATATCTGTGGCTGTTATATTCTGAATAACACACACACACAAATGGAGAACCCATTCTTCCAGTATTATAAACTATCATACAATATGTATGACAGAAAGATGATTATTCATCAGTTGCAAACATAGACTGGCTATGGATATAAGAATTTGGCAAAAATCAACCAAAGCAGTGTGTGAGAATCTACTGGCTATCCAGGATTTACAATCAAGAGTAGTGATTATTTTATTCATATTTATAAATTACATGTTACATGTCCTTTATATCAGTAAAATTAATAATAAACACACATGCAAGCATGCACATTAGGGCATGCATGCACACACATACACATATTTTTCCTTGAGAGCCAGCTGTTAAACATTTACCAGCATACCACTAAATTGACCATTATTTTAAACTAAGAGGAACCTAGAAGCTCTTAAGCAGAGCCCTAGGCTCATCTTCAAATCACTAAGGTTGGGTTATAAATGGTTTTAGCTTCAGGTAAGGCTACCAAATTAGATCATTGTATTTAAATATACTATGTTGGCAATTCCTATCCTGCACAATGATGAAGTAGGCTCATAGCTTCAAGTTCCACCATTATTACAGAAAAATTTATTCTATGGAAACGCAACTTAGGGAAAGTCAAGATAGCTTTCTACAATTCACAAAAACTATGGAGACATACAAAGAAGTAAGATATGGCTCCTTCCTGCCTCCAAGACAGTTGAGCAGGGAGGACAAACACATAAACCTATAATATAAAAGGCACAGCACTGATAGATACAACGTGCTATGGGATGACAAGGGAGAGATCCCATGAGTTTACACTTCAGGTCCTGGTTAATGGCACCAGTCTCACCTGCCTCAAAAGAAGCAAGGGCAAGGAGGCAGGTTCCAGGGAGAAGGAGAAACCTATAAAGTATGGCATAATAGGAAGAAGGATTCTAGAATCAGGCAGCCTGTGCTCAAACCCAGACTCTTTCACTAACTGTGTGAACACGTCCAAGTTACTTGGCCTCTCTAAGCCTCTGCTTCTTAATCTAAAAAAGGAGAATAGTAACTCCTGACCCAGAGCACTGTAGTGAGGATCAAATAAGACAACATCTGTGAAACACTTACCCCAGTGCCCCATAATTCAAAAGTGCTCACTCAATGAACATTACCTACTACTGTGATGGTTGTTGATAGCCTTGAGAGTTGAAATGGCTGACTTTGGGGACTAGGAGGGTGCAGGAACTAGACAGAGGGATTCCAGGCAGAAGGAAGAAAATAAGCACCCCCCACCAACAAAAAAAAAAAGAAAAAAAAAAACAGAGATTACATACAGGGGCCCACTTAGTAGTCCTGAGGTAGTAGAATATTCCTGGAGGTCTAGGTCAGGCACAGCTACAGCAAATAAAGACTGAGGCTAGACCAAGGCTCTTCCAGAATGGTTCAAATATACACTCATTCCTCATGCTCTTCTGAGAAAAACGAAACAAAATCAGGCTTTTAAGATGATACCCTTTTTCTTCTGACAGGTACTGTAAATTGTGTCTCTGATATATTTTGAAGAGCCTATAAGGGAATGATAAATCAGGCAATATTACATATATTCATCAGTACCTTAATTGTTGTTAAATACTAACAACACCTAAAATTGATCTGTACCAAGATTTACTGCTCTGACAAAAAACCACCTGGAAAAGAGCACATGATAATTAAGAACGACCAAGGGTTTGAAGCAATCTAACGCGTATGAACAAGATTTAAACTCCTCCCCGAGGGAATAACTAGGTGATGTTTATTCTGTAGATGAACAATGTGATTATAACAATGGAAGATTGATGAGATTTTTTTACTGTGGGAATCTGATTTAGCCGGCTAGCTCAGATAATAGGAGGATGCAAAACTAAGCCATCCAGTACCACTTAAAAATTCTTTGTGAGGGACACATCTTCAGTGACCTGAAAAAAATGGACTGCAAGTCAGGCAGGCATATTAGGCAGCTACAAACTGTCATACAAAAAAACAGCATTTACCAAAAAGTTTCTAAATGCACCACAACTGAGTTCAACCAAATTAGAGAGAAAAGGTAGGAAGAGAATTACATTCTTATCAGAAGCAAAGGAATTTTTTTTTCTTTTGGTGGTCTTTTGGGCCTACCAACTGTTATTTGAGTCTAACAGGTTATTCTTAGTAATCCCTCTTGTCCAGGAAAAGAGGAACTGCTTGGTCTATTTTAATAAACACACAAACTAAAAGCAAGGCAATATTAGTCTTCCAGAGCCTTGCTATGAAAAGTGTAAAGAGCTATCACCTAGGAGCTTGTTAGAACCTCAGGCTCTTGGGCTCCACCCTAGACCTGAATCAAAATCTACATTTTTGTTTGTTTGTTTGTTTGTTTGAGACAGGGACTCACTCTGTGGCCCAGGCTGGGGTGCAGTGGTACTATCTCAGCTAACTGCAACCTTTGCGTCCCAGACTCAGGTGATCCTCCTACCTCAGCCTCCCGATTAGCTGGGACTACAGGCATGTACCACCACGCCTGGCTAATTTTTCTATTTTTAGTAGAGACAGGGTTTCTTCATGTTGCCTAGGCTGGTCTTGAACTCCTGGCCTCAAGCCATCCACCCACCTCAGCCTCCCAAATTGCTGGGATTACAGGCGTGAGCCACCATGCCTGGCCAGAATCTGCATTTTTAACAAGAACCCCAGGTAATTCCTTTAAAGTATTAGAAGCAATGCTCTAAAGAGACATTCATTCGTTCATTCAATACGTTTGCGAGATCTGCAGTGTCATTTATGGTATGTAGCCACTAGCCAAATGTGACTATTAACATTTCAGTTAGTTAAAATTAAATAA
This sequence comes from Homo sapiens, assembly GCF_000001405.40. Lineage (NCBI taxonomy): Eukaryota > Metazoa > Chordata > Mammalia > Primates > Hominidae > Homo > Homo sapiens. The sequence goes on from NC_000003.12 coordinate 61,030,447, forward strand.
AATTAAAATTCAAGGATTTATTTGCACTAACCACATTTAAGTTCTCAATTAGCACATGTGGCTAATGTCTGCCATATACATTTTAATCATCACAGAAACTTCTATTGGACACATCACTGAACAAAGAAGACAAAGATCTTTGTACTCACAAAGTTTAGATTCTAGTGGTGGGAAAGCAGATACAATAAACATAAGTGACTCAGTTAAATGGTATGTTGGACGGACAGTTCAAGGCTAAGGACAAAAATTAAAAAACAAAGCAGCCTTAGAGGGATCAGGAGGATGGAAAGACAGGAATTTTAAATATGGCAGGTCTGGTAGTTTCAATGAAAAAGTTACATTAAAGGAGAGGCAGGCCGTGAGCTGCCCGGGATGGGGGCAGGGGGGTAGTTTCAAAGGGTAAAGCCTGTGCAAAAGCCCTAGGGCAGGTCTGTTTCCATAACAGCAAGGGTCCCATGTGGCTGCAGGAGAGTAAGGGGAGAAGGCAAGTAAAATGGTAGGAGAACAGAGGAGTATGGATCCTGGGTATGGAAAGGGCTTCCTTATCCATTGTCAAAGATTTGAGCACTTACATGAAACGAAATAAGGGGTCCTTGCAGTGTTTTGAGCAGACAGGTAACATGCTTCAACCCGATCTCAAAAGTTATTCTCGTTCAGCAAAAAATGACTATAAGTAAAAGTTATTATTATTTTTTAATTCAAGGTCATGTTCAGATGTAGAAAGATACTATCTGCAGTGGCAAAATGACTTTGTTTACAAGTTTTGGTAACCATGAGAAGCTTGTTAATGATACACAAACAAGTTATTAAAATTTATCACTGTAAAATTCAGATACTTTTTCAAAATCCTCTATGAATATGCAGAGTCACAAGGTCTTACAGGTTACCACCCAGAACCAGTAGCCATCTTTGCTATAAAACTTTTCAGCAAATCCTGAGGAATGCAAAATCAGAGTTGCCCAATTGCCCAAAAGGTGGAACTCTGCTTGAGTGTCTCAACCTGAAAATTTGTTGATTACTTTATAGAGAGAAAGAGATGAAAATCTGTTAAATAGTTTCAATTTTTTCTTTTTTACCCCAACTCATGTAAATTGAATTCATCTACTCTAACATCCCAGTTAAATGTCAAAGCTTTGGGAATCAAGGTAGGGATTTTTATTTATTTTTCAAAGTTCAGTTCCCAGAAACAATGACACATTTTACCCACAAGTGAGAATGTTGTTATCTTGTAGGTAATCCAGCTACTGTTCTATGAACTGTAGGTCACTGTAGCCTGTCTACAAAATGCCATCATCAGCTTCAAGGCCTGTGTTCACTAAGACAGCCACATGGAAGTTATACTGAACAGGCAACCCTAAAATGACTGAGCGCCATCGCCTGAGATTTATTCCCTGAGGACCACCACCAACTGTGATCCAGCCAGAATTCTGGCAGGAAAATAAAGTAAGTTCACCTTCTGTAAGTTAAATCAAATGAACAATAAATCAAGGCATGTTGGGTCATTGGGAACTAACTGCTCAGATGCTCATGGCCGGTGAGTGAATCAACTGGCATCATTTTAAAGCATCTGGGCATAGCATTTTTGAGCTATAGAACATAAGAGGAGATTTTAGCAACCAAATTATTACCAACGTCAGTGATTGGAGTCCAGAACTGGAGCTGCTTTGATAGTTCATTCGTGTATTCCTTCATTCATTCAACAAATATGTGTTGAGGAACTCCTACAGGTAAATAATATTCTGTCTGCTAAAAATACAGAACTTTACATACAGTAAACTTGTCCACATGAAACTTAAAGTTTCAGTTTTAACCTCCTCATGGCTCCCTCTTGGAGCCAGGAACCTTCCAGAGCTAGGAGACCTCAAGAGGTCTTTCATGGATGGGAAGGATTCAGAGACTGTTTTAGAGTGATAAGGAACATAAGGTGTACTACCAGAAGGTGAATCTTCACAGGGTAAGAGGTGTATGTAAGCAGTAAGTTTTATATTCTCTATCCTGAAGCCAGAGCACCTAAGAGCTTCTTTCATTTCCCTCATCCACCCACAGAAGTCACCCCTAAGAACTGAAGCATTCTTCATCCCACCTCATTTCTGGCACAGCAAAACCAGAAGGAGCAGGGAAAACACATTCCCAGAGGCCAGACATATTAAGATACTGGAAGTAAGCAAAGGGGCTAATAGACCTAAACAATCAGCTTTGGGGAAAAGAAGATCCTCTCTGTTGCAAACAGAGCTAAAAGGAACAGCCTAGAACAGAGCCTACAAGCCAAAGACAGTATATTAGCCAGGCTTCTCCAGAGAAGCAGAACCAATGGGATAAATGTAGATATACAGAAAGAGATTTATTGTGAGGGATTGGCCCATGCCATTATGGAGGCTGAGAAGACCCACTATCTGCCATCTGCAAGCTGGAGGCCCAGGAAAGCAGGAGGTATAGTTCCAGCCCAAGCCCAGGGGCCTGTGAACCAGGAGAGTCAATAGTGTAAGTCCCTTTGGATCAAAGGCCCAAGATACAGGAGCTCTGATATCTGAGGACAGAAGAAGATGGATATACCTGCTCAAACAGAGACAGTGAATTTGCCATTTCTGCACGTTTTGTTCTATTCACGTCCTCAAGAGATTGGGTGATGCTCAGTCGCCTTGATGAGGGTGACTTTTACTTAGTCTGCTGATTCACATGCTAATCTCTTCCAGAAACACCCTCGCAGACACACCCAGGAATAATGAGCATATCTCTTAGCCCAGTCAAGTTGACACAAAATTAACCATCACTTGTGTCCTGCCACGTATTTTTGTTAACAAAGCTTTACTGGAACACAGCCAGTTATTTGTTTACATATTGTCTATGGCTGCTTTTGATATAAATTCTACTGTCCAATATAGTAGCCACTGGCCACATAAAATGTGCCTTATCCAAATTCAGACATGGTGTAAGGGTAAAATACACACCAGACCTCAAAGACTGAGTAGGAAAAAAACTGTAAAATACCTCATCAATAATTTTTTATATTGATTACAGGGAAAAAACTAATATTTTTAATATTTTTGGCTAAGTGAAATATATTATTAGAATTAATCTCATCTGTTTCTTTTTACTCCTTGTAATGTGGCTACTACAAAATGTAAAATTACATATGGGGCTTACATCTGTGGTTCACAGTATATTTCTATTGGACAGCCTGGCACAGAAGGAAAGACTCCAGTATGTATACAGACCCTGGAGACAAGTTGAATAGAAAAACTCTGTTCTTACTCTACCTTCCACTTTATGTCTGTTTTTAATACTCCAACCCCAGGTCTTTCTTTTAATAATTATCCTAAATTAACAAACACACAAATCTGAAATTCTTGCAGGTCACTATTGCTGAAAATTCAACAGAAGAAAATCTGTGTATATCAGAATTTCACACAAAGATGGGTCAGTGGCTGGGCTGCATAGTGGATATTTGCTGCCTACCAACATTCTTTCTACTATAGCAAGACTCTAAGCAAACTCCACAAAGGAGACACTCTGAAGTTTCATGATCTACATAGATGCTCAACTAAGGTACCAAGTCATTTAATGAAGAAATAATAATCTCTTCAGCAAATTGTGCTGGAACAACTGAATAACCACACATGCCAAGAATAAAGCTGGACCCCTTCCTCACACCATATATAAAAATTAACCCAAAATGGAGCAATGATCTAAATATAAGTGCTAAACTGTAAAACTCTTTGAAGAAAGCATAGGGGTAAAATCATTACCCTCACATTTGGCAATGAATTCTTATATATGACACCAAAAGCACAAGCAACAAAAGAAAAAATAGATAAGTGGTACCTCCTCAAAATTAGAAACCTTGGTACATCAAAGACATTATCAAAAAAATGAAAAGACAATCTACAGAGTGAGAGAACATATTTGTAAATCATATATTTGACAAGGGTCTAGTATCCAGAATATACAGTATAAGAAATTCTTACAACTCAACAACAATAAAAACAAACAAACAAAAACAACAAAAAAACCAGGTAATGGGTAGAGGACTTTAACAGACATTTCTCCAGAAAAAACATGCAAATAGCCAACAAGCACCTGAAAAGATGCTCATCATTAGTCATTAGGGAAATGCAAATGAAAACCACAATGACATGCTACTTCACACCTAATAGGATGGCTATTATTTTCTTTAATGGAAAATAACAAATGTTGGTAAAGATATAGAGAAACTGGAACTCTCCAACAATGCTGGTGGGAATATACAGTGACTTAGCCACTGTGGAAAATAGTTTTGTAGTTTCTCAAAAATTTAGATATGGAATTACCATGTACCCCAGAAATCTCACTGGTAGGTATATATCCAAAAGGATTGAAAACAGGTTCTAAAACAGGTACCTGTGCATACATGTTCATAGCAGCACTATACACAATAGCCAAAAGGTGGAAACAGCCCACTTGTCCATCAACACCCATCAATGAATCAAAGGATAAGCAAATTGTAATATATCCATACAATGCAATATTATTCAGCCCTAAGAAAGGAATAAACTTCTGATACATCTTATAACCTGGGTGAACCTTGAAAACATGCCAAGTGAAAGAAACAAGACACAAAAGATCATATATTGTATCATTCCATTTACATAAAATATCCAGAATAGGTAAATCCACATAGATAGAATACAGATTGGTGGCTGACAAGGGTTTGGGGAAATGAGGAGAAGCTGCATTGAAATGAGGAGTTTTATTTTAGAAGGATGGAAATGTTTTGGAACTGGATAGAGATGATGATTGCACGGCACTGTCAGTGAGTTAAACGCCACTGGATTGCTCACTTTAAAATGGATTTTTTGTTATATGACTCTTATCTTAATAAATTTTTAAATCATATATTTTTTGCATTTCACATGTCACAATTCTGATCTTTTAAATGTAAAATACATTTTACATTACTTAACTATTTCTAGTCCTCACTTCTCCTCCAAAAAAATTACATTACAGTTGACACTAGATTTTGTTAAACTACCCAAAATTTACTTTGCATATATCCCTCTTGTGCACAAGTTAGTCAGAATTAGTTTCTGTTGTTTGCAATCACATAACTTTAATTGATATGGTACCTTAGTATGTCAGTCAGGGAGCCTGAGGTCTAATTCTAGGTCTGCATCTAATTAGCTGGTAATCTCGGGAGAAATTATTTAAATTAGCTTGGCTTTAGCTTTCTCATATGTAAACTGAAAGGATTAGACTAAATTATTCCTGAGGGTTTAAAATTCCATAAATGACATAACATCTCCTTTTAAAATATTATCCAAGAAGAAGTAATTGTCAGATAGTGATGATGTGACATTTTTTCCAGTAAAAAGTAAATTTGGAAGGTAGGCCCTGCTTTTACTCTAGTTAGTCCCTCCACCTCACTCTTCTGGCTCCTCAGTAATGTTTAGCATGCATATTCCAATAGATAAAATCCCTCAAAGGTGTTCAGTTTCATTTCTCTGATGTGAAAGGGCAAATCAAATGAAATGGTTAGAGACAATGCTCAAAATTTAAAGCTGTATCTAAGTTTCCCAACTCGATTAGGCCATTCTTACATTGCTATGAAGAACTACCTGAGACTGGGTAATTTATAAAGAGGTTTAATTGGCTCACAGTTCTGGAGGCTGTACGAGCATGGCACTGGCATCTGCTCGGCTTCTGGGGAGGCCTCAGGGAGCTTTGACTCATGGCAGAAGGCGAAATAGTAGCAGGCACTTCACATGGGGAAAGCAGGGGCAGAACAGAGTGTGGTAGGTTCCACACACCTTTGAACAGCCAGATCTCCAAAACTCACTCACTATTGTGGGGATAGCACCAAGGGACTGATGCTAAGCTATTCATGAGGGATCAGCCCCCCCTGATCTAATCACCCCCTACCAGGCCCCACCTCCAACACTGGGGATTACCATTCAACATGAGATTTGAGGAGACAAAACATCCAAACTATATCACTAACCGAGTGTTCAGATTGTAGTATAGAAACTATCCAAGGGCACTTCAAATGTTCCTCTTATCATTGAAGGGGCTGAACAATAATTTGACCCAAAAGCTTGGCATTCTGCTTTTACTAGACTAGGCTGGTATTATAATGACCTTTCCTTTTGAAAAACAATAGTGGTTTCTATCTGTTGTCTTGTAAAGATGAGTTTTATATTATTAAGAATAATAAAAGATTAAAAAATGTTTTAAGCATTTCATCCAGAAGCTACAAAGCATTATGTTGGGGAAGTTTGAGGAGTTTATTAGGTCAATCTAGGCTCTAATATACTCAGATTATTGATTTAAACCGGTGAGCACAATAAATCACACTGGTCATGGAGGTGGCACCAGCTGAAAGTGAGAACACAGATCAATTACCCGAGAGTTCTGGGCTTTCTCACTGACTTGCCATTAAAAAATTACCTTCGTGGTTTCACCTCAAAGATCAGTCTGCTTTGTTTTTTTTTTTTGTTTGTTTGTTTTTTTGAGATGGAGTCTCGCTCTTTCGCCTAGGCCGGAGTGCAGTGGCACTATCTCCGCTCACTGCAAGCTCCGCCTCCCGAGTTCACGCCACTCTACTGCCTCAGCCTCTCGAGTACTTGGGACTACAGGCACCCGCCACTGCACCCGGCTAATTTTTTGTATTTTTAGTAGAGACAGGGTTTCACCGTGTTAGCCAGGATGGTCTCGATCTCCTGACCTCGTGATCCATCCGTCTCGGTCTCCCAAAGTGCTCGGATTACAGGCGTGAGCCACCGTGCCCGGCCCAGTCTGCTTTTTTTATGCAAACTTTGACCGCTTAGAAAAGCGCTACAAGACTGGAGTGGTTATGCTTGGCTCTGGTGTCAGAGTGCTTGGATTCTAGCTAAAATCCACCCAGGGAGTGTCGCTTAACCTTATTTTCTCTCCGTTTCCTCAACTGTAAAGCAAGAAAAATAATAGTGTTTCCCAAAGCCTGGCACATATACCACTGGGAGTATACCAGATGATATTAGATGGTACATGAGTGGTTTTCTTCTTCTGTTAACAATTATGTGTTTAATTCCCAGCATATTAAAATATATATAATTAGCACATCAAATGCTATGGTTTGAATGTGTCACCCAAAGTCCATGTGTTGGAAACTTAATTCCCAGTGCAACAGAGGTGGGTCCTTCAAGGGGCAATTAGGTCACGAGGGCTCTGGCCTCATGAATGAATTAATTATGTTATCAGAGAAGTGGGTTAGTTATCACCAGAATGGATTCCTGATAAAACGAATGAGTTAGGCCTTTTTCCCTCACTCATGTGTGCATGTCTTTTATCCTTCTGCCATTGGATGACTCATCAAGTAGGCCTTTGCCAAATGCAGACCCTTGATCTTAGATGTCCCAGCCTCTAGGACCATGAGACAAATACATTTCTATTCATTATAAGTTACCCAGTCTCACATATTCTATTATAGCAGCACAAAAGGGACTAAAACACCACACTAAAATTATTGCGTAGGACAAATCTAAGTCAAGGAAAAGAAGTGCGCTCCAAACAGTCCTAGTCAGTCAGGGAAAGTTCTTTACAGAAAAAGTCTAGTTGACAAATGGAAAATAATTAACAGAATTAGAAATCATGATTTTTGCAATTACTTAATGACATAATTGATTTAAGTAACAATCATCAATTGAAGAAACAATCACATGAAAAATTAATATGGAACTTTAAAATGGAATAGTCAGTCTGTTACCTGCCAAAACCAATGATGAATCTCAGCTTCAATAAAACAGGTTCTGAATAGTGGATGCTTCCTAATAAACGTAGTAAAGACACCCTCTGCAAAGCATTCTTGCCAAAAACATTTACGTTAAATCAAATTTAGAGACAGCATCCCTTAAGAAAAAATAAGAGTGGTGAAGGAACACATTAAAGAAGAGCATATGAAACCAGAATGTGTGACTTCCTACAGAACAAAAGATCCTGCTTCTATAACAAGTCTACAGTGGGAATGGAGGCAGGATTTCTCTAGGTTAAGAGACTTAAGGAACATATGTAATATAATGTTTGAATTTGTTTGAATATGAAAATAAGGAAAAACAGTAAATGACATTTTCAAGTCAGTTGGGGAAGTTTCAATGTGGAGCTGGATTAGACAATACCAAATAATTACTGTTTATATTGCTTGATATAATAATGGCATTGTGCTTAAGTACAAAAATGCCCATATTTGTTACAGCTGCATTCTGAAATACATCAGAGTAAAGTGAAGTGATGTCTGCAATTTGCTTTAAAATACTTCAGAAGAGAAAAAGAAAGGAGGGGAGGGAAAAAGACAATATGAAGAAAATGTAGTAAAAATCTTGATGATTATTGAATCTAGGTATACAACCTGCTTGATAATTTGCAGGACCCAGAGCAAAATAAAAATGCAGGGTCTCTTATAACTGCTTAAGAATTTCAAAACAGTGACAGAAGAACCAAATAACCACATTAAACCAAATGTGGGCCTTCATAAGCCATGGGCTCTGAACAACTCTCAGGCTGCATGCACATGAAGCCTGCTCTATGTGTTAGATAATATGGAAATTAATTGCACTATTCACTCTACTTGGTGCATATTTGGAAAACTTCCATAATAATTTAAAGGGGATCACTTAAAAATATATATATATAAAGTAAAGATTATATGAGGAAATAGCAAAAATCAGGAAGGCTACAATTGGCCGCAATTTCCAAGATACTGATGTAATCATGAAAGACACTCAATGTGGTGCCTGACACACAGCAAATGCTCAGGTTAGCTCCTACTACTGTTGCTACCACCAGCACTACCATTTTGACAAAGACTACCCTTGTATCTAGTAAGAAACATGAACGTTTTATAGAGATTACTACAACAACATTTTACAGAAAGGTTACTTTAGACATCGTGAAATCCTTACTGGGAGATCTACTTATATACAGAAAGTCTTACAATTCTTACCAATATTTCTGATTGTATTTTGCTCCCTTGTGCCCTATATTCTTTAAAACTTGCGAGGGATTTCCATCAATGACAGACTGGATAAAGAAAATGTGGCACATATACACCATAGAATACTACACAGCCATAAAAAAGGATGACTTCATGTCCTTTGCAGGGACATGGATGAAGCTGGAAACCATCATTCTCAGCAAACTAACACAAGAACAGAAAACCAAACACCACATGTTCTCTCTCATAAGTGGGAGTTGAACAATGAGAACACATGGACACAGGGAGGGGAACATCACATACCGGGGCCTATTTGAGGGGTAGGAGTCTGCGGGGGTTAGCATTAGGAGAAATACCTAATGCAGATGACGGGTTGATGGGTGTAGCACCCACCATGGCACATGTATACCTATGTAACAAACCTGCACATTCTGCACACATATCCTGGAACTTAAAGTATAAAAAAACAAACAAACAAAAAAACTTGTAAGGGATATCAACTGTGGGCCACAACAGCACTTAGAACAGAATATTATTACTAACTTGAAGATTCTTCTGAAAGCCAGACTCCTCTTTGTAATTCAAGTGACATCACTTACAGTAGCAAAGAAAGAGCATCAGAATGAAATAAGTCCTTGTGGGTCTCAATCATGGTGAATAATACTGTGGTTTTTCTTGAATGAGAAAGGGCATTTGCAAACCTCAAAGGGGTTTAACGAAACCTTACTCTCCCCTTTAAATGTCCAAATTAAGCTTCTTTGGAATAAAACCTTCTCAAAAGAAAGCAAATGTAAAAGTTAGATTATTGTATATGACCTAAAACATTTGCTGAATCACAATAAACACATACCAGCATCTACTATAGCCTGTTACCTAAATCAAGTTTCACAGACCCAGAGAATTCCTCCGCCTTATTTTGTTTTTTAAACATTGGATTGAAAGTACTATTGAGGATCAGCATGATCAGTGCAAACCTTATTTTGCACAAAGAGCAATTTAGGAAAAATGGATAAGGTGATAGGCCACCAATTTATTTGTCTATCCAGAATGATAATGGTTTTATTAAATCCCTTAAAGAAAGATGAATTTTTATAAGCTAGACTATCTAATTTGTTAAATAGCACATCAATCTGAATATTGTCACTGTTTTTTAAAATACTCTAATGTTAATATTTTGGCATGTTTGAATTGAGGCAACACAGAGTTTTCTAATCGTTAATCTTTAACTTGATGAAGGGATCTACACAGAATGAAGCAGACTACACACGGCCCAAGGGTAGTGGAGATGTGTGTGGTATCTGTTGCTTCTATTAAACATTTGCACATGAAGCATGGGTATATGCTAGCAGAAGAACACTTTCAGACATCCCATCCCTATTCAGTTATCCTTCAAATCATATGGCAACAACACAATAAGAGCCACTTATACCTTATTCCCCCGATGGAAACTCTTTGCCTCTTCAGAGAGCCCATAACCAGCTGAGGGCCCAGGCCTGACTGGTAACCCCTCAGGGAGGGAGCATGTCCATAAATCAGCAATATAGCAGAGATGGGGCTTCTTATCCTTGGCAGCCATTTTCCCTGCCTCCCCTTCCTCCCCTAGGACATCCCCTCTCTGCCCTGGTATGCATCTTGGACACTGGATGTCTCAACTCAGTTTAGAACTTACTAAAACAAGGTTTAATAACCTCATATTAAAATTTTCAAGACTGGCTGGGCACGGTGGCTCACACCTGTAATCCCAGCACTTTAGGAGGCTGAGGCAGGCAGATCACGAGGTCAAGAGATCGACCCCATCCTGGCCAACATGCGGAAACCCTGCCTCTACTAAAAATACAAAAATTAGCTAGGTGTGGTGGCACGCCTCTAGTCCCAGCTACTCAGGAGGCTGAGGCAGGACAATCACTTGAACCTGGGAGGCAGAAGTTGCGGTGAGCTGAGATCACGCCACTGCACTGCAGCCTGGTGACAGAGCCTGGCTCCATCTAAAAAAAAAAAAAAATTTACAAGACTACCGAGAATCCGCACCTCCTAAGAAATGGAGATCAAGTCTGTGCGAGTCATCATTCCTCTTGGGTCTCTTGATTTATCTATCAATTAGCAACACTATTTGACCTTCTACCTATGTGTGATCATGGATATTAATCAGCCCTTCTTTTTACTGATATAATTCCTACTTTTTCAGAAATCTGACAAACTCACAATTGCTGATATCTACCCTTTCCTCCTTACGAAGATAGAAATGCCCATCTATAATTTATAGACAGGTATGATTCCACAATTTAAAAAATAAAGCAAAAAAAAAAAAAATCCGCTCAACTCAAGGCTTATACATCACTGATTCCCTCAATGCCCTTACTTGGAAAGCAGTAATTCTTTTGAGCTAATAAAATGCATGTTATGAACCAGAACAATACCTTAAAGATATAACAAAAGTAATTATGATAATAATGAAAAAAGTGAGAATTTCAAAATCTTTGTGTAGTTCTTGAAAGTATAGTGCAGTATAATGTGAGAACTGAAGGCTGTTTACCAAAAATTCATATATCTCTCCTTCTAAATATTTATTATTTTTGAACAGACCCGCTTGTGTGGCCAGGTGACTTTAGCCAGTGGCATATGTGCCAATTCTGTTAAGTATTTTAAGAAATGGTTTTACCTTCTTTCTCTTTCTCTCCCTTCCACCGTCTGGATGTAGATAGCACTACGGACCTAGGGAAAGGCAGAAACACAAGATGGGAGACATATGAAATATCCCAGGAAGAAAACTCTTTTGCAGAAGCACTGATACCAGACTCTTACGTAAATGAAAAAAAACTTCCATTTAGTTTAAGCCATTATTACATTTTGGAGTCTATAATGCTAAAGCAGCTAGTATCACCCTGGTTAATTAATGAAGTAAATTAAATGGTTAAAAGCATATAACCTACCTGGGACATCTTGTAGGGCAGTAAGATGGAAGTTAAAGGACAACAGGATTGAAACTTAAAGTGTTCAAAGATGAAATCATAAGCAGTATGGAACCTCGGAGGTAAGTTGGGGTATAAAAGAAACAAAACTGGCCATGAGCTGATTATTTTTAAAACAGAATATGGGTATATGAGAATTGATCACATATTCTCTCTAGTTCTGTATATATTTGACATTTTACACAATAAAAATTTAAACAGGCAGGGTGCAGTGGCTCACACCTGTGATCCCAGCATTTTGGGAAGCTGAGGTGGGCGGATCACTCGAGGTCAGCCGTTCGAGACCAGCCTGGCCAACATGGTGAAACCCTGTCTCTACTAAAAATACAAAAAATTAGCTAGGTGTGGTCGTGGGTACCTGTAATGCCAGCTACTTGGGAGGCTGAGGCAGGAGAATTGCTTGAACTCAGGAGGCAGAGGTTGCAGTGAGCCAAGATGGTGCCACTGCACTCCAGCCTGGGTGACAAAGTGAGCATCTGACTCAAAAAAAAAAAAAATTAAACACTTTTTTTTAAAAAGTAAGGATACCTGGAGTTCCCACTGGCCTAGGAAGGGAATATCTGAGCATCAAAAAGGTTAAGAACAGAAACAAATTAAAACATACAAAATTTTTTTTAGAACAACAGGGAGAGGTTCCAAGATGGCCGAATAGGAACAACTCCTGTCTACAGCTCCCAGCTTGAGTGACGCAGAAGACAGGTGATTTCTGCATTTCCAACTGAGGTACCGGGTTCATCTCACTGGGGCTTGTTGGACAGTGGGTGCACCCCATGGAGTGTGAGCCAAAGCAGGGCAGGCATTGCCTCACCCAGGCAGTGCAAGGGGTCAGGGAATTCCGTTTCCTAGCCAAGGGAAGCTGTGACAAATGGTACCTGGAAAATCATAACAACCCCACCCTAATACAGCACTTTTCCAACTGTCTTAGCAAATGGCACACCAGGAGATTATATCCCGCGCCTAGCTCGGAGGGTCCCACGCCTAGCTCGGAGGGTCCCACGCCCACGGAGCCTTGCTCTCTGTTAGCACAGCAGTCTGAGATCGAACTGCAAAGCAGCAGTGAGGCTGGGGGAGGGGCATCCATCATTGCTGAGGCTTGAGTAGGAAAACAAAGAGGCCCAGAAACTCAAACTGGGTGGAGCCCACCGCAGCTCAAGGAGGCCTGCCTGCCTGCCTCTGTAGTCTCCACCTCTGGGGGCAGGGCACAGCTGAACAAAAGGCAGCAGAAACTTCTGCAGACTTAAACGTCCCTGTCTGACAGCTTTGAAGAGAGCAGTGGTTCTCCCACCATGGAGTTTGACATCTGAGAATGGACAGACTGCCTCTTCAAGTGGGTCCCTGAGACCCAAGTAGCCTAACTGGGAGATACCTCCCAGTAGGGGCCGACTGACACCTCACACAGCCAAGTACCCCTCTGAGACAAAGCTTTCAGAGGAAGGATCAGGCAGCAACATTTGCCATTCTGCAATATTTGCTGTTCTGCAGCCTCCACAGGTGATACCCAGGCAAACAGGGTCTGGAGTGGACCTCCAGCAAACTCCAAAAGACCTGCAGCTGAGGATCCTAACTGTTGGAAGGAAAACTAACAAACAGAAAGGACATCCACACCAAAACCCCATCTGGACGTCACCATCATCAAAGACCAAAGGTACATAAAACCACAAAGATGGGGAGAAACCAGAGTAGAAAAGCTGAAAATTCTAAAAATCAGAGCGCCTCTTCTCCTCGAAAGGAACGCAGCTGCTCGCCAGCAAGGGAACAAAGCTGGATGGAGAATGAATTTGACGAGTTGAGAGAAGGCTTCAGACGATTGTTAGTAACAAACTTCTCCAAGCTAAAGGAGGATGTTCGAACCCATCACAAAGAAGCTAAAAACCTTGAAAAAAGATTACATGAATGGCTAACTAGAATAACCAGTGTAGAGAAGTCCTTAAATGACCTGGTGGAGCTGAAAACCATGGCTCAAGAACTACATGACACATGCACAAGTTTCGGTAGCCAATTCGATCAAGTGGAAGAAAGGGTATCACTGATTGAAGACCAAATGAATGAAATGAAGTGAGAAGAGAAGTTTAGAGAAAAAAGAGTAAAAAGAGATGAACAAAGCCTCCAAGTAATACGGGACTATGTGAAAAGACCAAATCTACATCTGATTGGTGTACCTGAAAGTGATGAGGAGAATGGAACCAAGTTGGAAAACACTCTGCAGGATATTATCCAGGAGAACTTCCCCAATCTAGCAATGCAGGCCAAAATTCAAATTCAGGAAATACAGAGACGCCACAAAGATACTCCTCGAGAAGAGCAAATCCAAGACACATAATTGTCAGATTCACCAAAGTTGAAATGAAGGAAAAAATATTAAGGGCAGCCAGAGAGAAAGGTCCGGTTACCCACAAAGGGAAGCACATCAGACTAACAGCGGATCTCTCAGCAGAAACTCTAGAAGCCAGAAGAGAGTGGAGGCCAATATCCAGCATTCTTAAAGAAAAGAATTTTCAACCCAGAATTTCATAACTAGCCAAACTAATCTTCACAAGTGAAGGAGAAATAAAATCCTTTACAGACAAGCCAATACTGAGAGATTTAGCCACCACCAGGCCTGCCTTACAAGAGCTCCTGAAGGAAGCACTAAACATGGAAAGGAACAACCAGTACCAGCCACTGCAAAAACATGCCACACTATAAAGACCATCAATACTAGGAAGAAACTGCATCAACTAAGAAGCCAAATAACCAGCTAACATCAAAATGACAGGATTAAATACACACATAACAATATTAACCTTAAATGTAAATGGGCTAAATGCTCCAATTAAAAGACACAGACTGGCAAATTGGGTAAAGAGTCAAGACTCATCAGTGTGCTCTATTCAGGAGACCCATCTAACATGCAGAGACACACACAGGCTCAAAATAAAGGGATGGAGGAAGATCTACCAAGCAAAAGGAAAACAAACAAACAAAAAAGGCAGGGCTTGCAATCCTAGTCTCTGATAAAACAGACTTTAAACCAACAAAGATCAAAGAGACAAAGAAGGCCGTTACATAATGGTAAAGGGATCAATTCAACAAGAAGAGCTAACTATCCTAAATATATATGCACCCAATATAGGAGCACCCAGATTCATAAAGCAAGACCTTAGAGACTTAAAAAGAGACTTAGACTCCCACACAATAATAATGGGAGGCTTTAATACCCCACTGTCAACATTAGACAGATCAACAAGGCAGAAAGTTAACAAGGATATCCAGGAATAGAACTCAGCTCTGAACCAAGTGGACCTAATAGACATCTACAGAACTCTCCACCCCAAATCAACAAAATATACTTTCTTCTCAGCACCACATCGTACTTATTCCAAAACTGACCACATAGTTGGAAGTAAAGCACTCCTCAGCAAATGTAAAAGAACAGAAATTATAACAAACTGTCTCTCAGACCACAGTGCAAGCAAACTAGAAATCATAATCAAGAAACTCACTCAAAACCACTCAACTACATGGAAACTGAACAACCTGCTCCTAAATGACTACTGGGCACATAACGAAATGAAGGCAGAAATAAAGATGTTCTTTGAAACCAACGAGAACAAAGACGCAACATACTAGAATCTCTGGGACACATTCAAAGTAGTGTGTAGAGGGAAATTTATAGCACTAAATGCCCACAAGAGAAAACAGGAAAAACCTAAAGTTGACACCCTAACATTACAATTAAAAGAACTAGAGAAGCAAGGGCAAAGAAATTCAAAAGCCAACAGAAGGCAAGAAATGACTAAGATCAGAGCAGAACTGAAGGAGATAGAGACGCAAAAAACCCTTCAAAAAATCAATGAATCCAGGAGATGGTTTTTAGAAAAGATCAACAAAATTGATAGACTGCTAGCAAGACTGGTAAAGAAGAAAAGAGAGAAGAATCAAATAGACACAATAAAAAATGATAAAAGGGATATCACCACCGATCCCACAGAAATACAAACTACCATCAGAGAGTACTATAAACACCTCTATGCAAATAAACTAGAAACTCTAGAAGAAATGGATAAATTCCTAGACACATACACCCTCCCAAGACTAAACCAAAAAGAAGTTGAATCTCTGAATAGACCAATAACAGGCTCTGAAATTGAGGCAATAATTCATAGCCTAGCAACCAAAAAAAGTCCAGGACCCAGATGGATTCACAGCCGAATTCTACCAGAGGTACAAAGAGGACCTGGTACCGTTGCTTCTGAAACTATTCCAATCAATAGAGAAAGAGGGAATCATCCCTAACTCATTTTATGAGGCCAGCATCATCCTGATAGCAAAGCCTGGCAGAGACACAACACAAAAAAGAGACTTTTAGACCAATACCCCTGATGAACTTCGATGCAAAAATCCTTCATAAAATACTGGCAAACTGAATCCAGCAGCACATCAAAAAGCTTATCCACCACGATCAAGTTGGCTTCATCCCTGGGATGCAAGGATGGTTCAACATATGCAAATCAAAAAACGTAATCCATCATATAAACAGAACCAAAGACAAAAACCACATGATTATCTGACTAGACGCAGAAAAAGCCTTCGAAAAAATTTGACAGGCCTTCATGCTAAAAACTCTCAATAAACTAGGTATTGATGGGATGTATCTCAAAATAATAAGAGCTATTTATGACAAACCCACAGCCAATATCATACCGAATGGGCAAAAGCTAGAAGCATTCCCTTTGAAACCTGGCACAAGACAGGGATGCCCTCTTTCACCAATCCTGTTGGAAGTTCTGGCCAGGGCAATCAGACAATAGAAAGAAATAAAGGGTATTCAATTAGGAAAAGAGTAAGTCCAATTGTTGCTGTTGGCAGATGACATGATTGTATATTTAGAAAACCCCATCGTCTCAGCCCAAAATCTCCTTAAGCTGATAGGCAACTTCAGCAAAGTCTCAGGATACAAAATCAATGTGCAAAAATCACAAGCATTCCTATACAGCAATAACAGACAAACAGAGAGCCAAATCATGAGTGAACTCCCATTCTCAATTGCTTCAAAGAGAATAAAATGCCTAGGAATGCAACTTACAAAAGATGTGAAGAACCTCTTCAAGGAGAACTACAAACCACTGCTCAACGAAATAAAAGAGGACACAACCAAATGGAAGAACATTCTATGCTCATGGATAGGAAGAATCAATATCATGAAAATGGTTATACTGCCCAAGGTAATTTATAGATTCAATGCCATCCCCATCAAGCTACCAATGACTTTCTTCATAGGATTGGAAAAAACTACTTTAAAGTTCATATGGAACCAAAAAAGAGCCCACATTGCTAAGTCAATCCTAAGCCAAAAGAACAAAGCTGGAGCCATCACGCTACCTGACTTCAAACTATACCACAAGGCTACCCAAACAGCATGATACTGGTACCAAAACAGAGATATAGACCAATGGAACAGAACAGAGCCCTCAGAAATAATACCACACATCTACAACCATCTGATCTTTGACAAACATGAAAAAACAAGCAATGGGGAAAGGATTCCCTATTTAATAAATGGTGCTGGGAAAACTGGCTAGCCATATGTAGAAAGCTGAAACTGGATCCCTTCCTTACACCTTATACAAAAGTTAATTCAAGATGGATTAAAGACTTAAATGTTAGACCTAAAACCATAAAAACCCTAGAAGAAAACCTAGGCAATACCATTCAGGACATAGGCATGGGCAAGGACTTCATGTCTAAAACACCAAAAGCAATGGCAACAAAAGCCAAAATTGACAAATGGGATCTAATTAAACTCAAGAGCTTCTGCACAGCAAAAGAAACCACCATCAGAGTGAACAGGCAACCTACAGAATGGGAGAAAATTTTTGCAATCTACCCATCTGACAAAGGGCAAATATCCAGAAATCTTCCAAGAACTTAAACAAATTTACAAGAAAAAAATCAAACAACCCCATCAAAAAGTGGGTGAAGGATATGAACAGACAGTTCTCAAAAGAAGACATTTATGCAGCCAACAGACACATGAAAAAATGCTCATCATCACTGGCCATCAGAGAAATGCAAATCAAAACCACAATGAGATACCATCTCACATCAGTTAGAATGACAATCATTAAAAAGTCAGGAAACAACAGGTGCTGGAGAGGATGTGGAGAAATAGGAACACTTTTACACTGCTGGTGGGACTGTAAACTAGTGCAACCATTGTGGAAGACAGTGTGGCAATTCCTCAAGGATCTAGAACTAGAAATACCATTTGACCCAGCCATCCTATTACTGGGTATATACCCAAAGGATTATAAATCATGCTGCTACAAAGACACATGCATACGTATGTTTATTGCGGCACGATTCACAATAGCAAAGACCTGGAAGCAACCCAAATGTCCAACAATAGACTGGATTAAGAAAATGTGGCACATATACACCATGGAATACTATGCAGCCATAAAAAATGATGAGTTCATGTCCTTTGTAGGGACATGGATGAAGCTGGAAACAATCATTTTCAGCAAACTATCACAAGGACAGAAAACCAAAAACCGCATGTTCTCACTCATAGGTAGGAATTGAACAATGTGATCACTTGGACACAAGGCAGGGGACATCACACACCAGGGCCTGTTGTGGGGTTGGGGGAGTGGGGAGGGATACCATTAGGAGATATACCTAATGCTAAATGATGAGTTAATGGGTGCAGCACATCAACATGGTACATGTATACATATGTAACAAACCTGCACATTGGGCACATGTACCGTAGAACTTAAAGCATAATTAAAATATATGTATATATATTTTTAAAATCCATAACTTCATAATGACACATGCATGAAAACTCATTAGACGTTAATGAATGAATGCCTAATAACTTCTAGTTGGTAACCAATGTTACCAAATAGAAGTTATTAGGCATTCATTCATTAATTAAAAATTAAAATATGATAAACAATTAATTTCCTGCCTATGTGAACTGTATATCAGAGTAACCAAATGGTTGATAAGAAAAAGTTTTTTTATAGATCTCCATGAATAAATGCAGGAGAAATGACACAACTAGAAAACTGCTATTTTGCATCCCCTAATGATATAAGACCTATATCCAGATATAGGAAACTACTATGAGTGGACATAAAACCATCAGTGTAAGCATGATAGGGAACTTGGTAACAGAACAGTCTGACAATACCTGAATGAACTAACTCATGTTATCTTCACTAAAAGGACATATATCATTATTTCCTTCATGCTGTGATGAAATAGGACATACATAGCACCATCTATGAAGTATTCTTGCCTAAAAAATCTCTATAAAATCTAGCCAAGACTCCAGACTAAATACCAGGTTATAGTGGTGATTGGGTTCAGGACATGCTTTCCTAAAATATGACACCTTGGTATTTAAGAAAACAGCAGAAGCGGGAAGGTCACTCTCACCTTCTGCCGTTCTCTCCTGAAGCAGGTCATGAACCAATGGAAGGATTTTTTTGAGCGTCCCCTGGAGCAGGTCATAAGACCATTTTAGAGGTGCCCTCCTTATACATGGAGGAAAGGAACATCCTTACCTCTGAAGACACAGGGACACAGAGAAGAAGCTGAACAAACAGGCCTTGCTAAGTTCCCTCCCCCAGTTTATTACCATTAGATCACACTCCCAATCATATGTCCAATCATACTTCACCTCTTCCCACTCTTCATCAAACCTAGCATAAAAAGTACACGGTTTAACCATTTCTTTGGGCCTTCATTTCCTTATGAAGGCTCCCATGTCACATGAAACTTATATTAAATAAATCGGTTTGCTTTTCTCTTGTAAATCTATCTTTTGTTATAGCGGCTTCCATCATAAAACTAGGATGGGAATAAAAGGTATTTCTTTTCCCATACAGAGAAATAAATTAAACACTGCCACAAAAAAGCGAACAGCCATCTTCAAAATATAGAGCAAATGATCCAGTTTCTCTCACAAATCAAAGTTATTGAGAGGAAGGGGATAAGAGGACTAATTAAAAAAAAGGAGACAAGCAACATAACAATTCAATGCAATGTGTGAATCTCTTTTAGATTCTGACTTGAACAAAACCATCAACAAAAGAACAATTAGGGAAATGCAAATATGGACTGGATATTAGAAAATATTAAGGAATTATTATTAATTTCATTAAATGTGATGATGGCATGGAATTTAAATAAAGGAGGTAAGGCCCTTATCAGTTAGAGATATCTACTGAAGAATTTTCAGGTGACAAGATATGATATCCAGCATATGCTTTAATGCGCTCAAGCAAAAGAAAAGAAAGAACGAAAAAATAAAATGGGGACAGAGGAAGTAAGATTGGCAAGATATTGATAATTATTAAAGCTGGATGATGCACGCATGGGTGTTCATTATGCTATTAGTTCTACATTTGTGTATATTTGAAATTTTCCAAGATACAGTTTTTTAAGGCACAAGATAGGAGTCAGACATTGGTTGGACCAGCCCTTTCACTTCCAGCTGGGAGAAACTGGGCAGATCACTACAGCCTGCACATTGCCCTCCTTTGTGTCATCAAGTGCACAGATATTTCTTCTAAGAATGCTCCAATACTATTCCTTGGATTTTCTTCCGAGCCATAGACACCTATTTTGTGAGTTTTGATGCTTCCCTTTCAATACTCATACACGTGCAGACAAACAACAGTTGTCCCAACTGCTACCTATCTGAAGTGATTATAAGTGACTATCAATTATGACATATATCCCAATTTCAAAGATTAAAATGTGAAAAAAATGTGCGTTAAAAAAATCTATGAAGAAAGAGACCTGGAGATGAAGTTATAATAAAAATGTCTATGACAATGAGATTTTCTGAATACCTACAAGGCATCTCCTGCTTTGGCTCCATAAGTACCACTATCTCTGTTTGTTTGTTTGTTTGTTTGTTTGTTTGTTTGTTTTTGAGACAGGGTCTCAATCCCTCGTCCAGACTGGAGTGCAGTGGCAGGCACTCCCCAGGCTCAGATGATCCTTCCACCTCAGCCTCCCAAATAGCTGGGACTACAGGCATGCGCCACCACACCTGGCTAATTTTTGTATTTTTGGTACAGACGAGGCTTCACCATGTTGCCCAGGCTGATCTCGAACTCTAGCCTCAAGCCATCTGCTCACCTCAGCCTCCCAAAGTTCTGGGATTACAGGCCTGAGACACCACCCCTGGCTTCTTGGGTTATTTTGACTGACATATCTCACTGGCTAAAATACTTCCATTTTTCTAGAAGCTACGGCAACTACCACTGGGTTGGCAAATGACAGGCCCTGGAAATGTTTCTGATAGATGTTTGTTGCATGAATAATAAATATGCAAATTTTAAGCCAAAAAAGAAATATAACACATGCAAAGAGATGTGGGGAGTCTCGTGCCCTTCTGTATAAAGTTCTGGAAGCTAATTTTGGAAACTCTATCAAGAAGTTGTGTGTGACTATTTTTCCAAAGTAGAGTCAAAATTCATGAGGCAGGGCAAAAGTTACACTGCATCTAATGATGAGTAAGAATGCACATCTGTTCCCTGGAGCTGCTCTCTATACACATATTCTAGTAATTTCCACACACCATCAGAAGATAGAAGATGGAGAAAACCAGTAAAGATATAATCTTTGAGAAAAGACTTTTGTTGGAGCCTAAACATAAACTTTTCCTTCAAGTCCATGTCCTGAGAGAGGTTTGTAAATGTGTGACCTAAATGAGGCTACCACTGAATTTTGTTTCCCAATATCCCTCAGAGAGGCTATAAGGCATATACAAATTCTACTTAAAAGCAAATCATGGTAAACATTTATTAAATTTTATTACGCACCAAGTACCACACTCGTGTTCTTCCCAGGACTGCCAAAGTTGGCTGAACCCTGATGCAGTAACTCTGCAGATGTACCTATAACATCTCAACTAATCCTAGCAGCAACCCTGCAAAGAACAGTACCACCTTACTTATATTTTCAGGATAGAGAGTATGACCTTTAGAAAGACTTGCTAACTGGCCCAAGTTCGACAGCCGGTAAATAGCATATCCAGGACTCACACCCACGGCTATGAAAAATCGGTGCTTGCGGCTTGTGTTTTTCACCTAAATACACAAGTGTTACATGAATGAACTGTGATGGAGGATCAGCATTGTTCCTGCCAACCACACCCACCTGCAGTCTAGCGCAGATCAATACTTTTACAAAGTGCAATGAAAATGAATCACTGGGGAATAAAGGCATTCAAAGTAAAAGTCAAAAGTTGTTATTGGAGTCAACAGACAAATTTATGCTGTTATTGCCCACGAGTTTCTAAATCCTTACTCTCAATTTATATGCTTATTTTGTTGCATACTGGCACCAGGACAAGGACCACCCTTTGAGTAGTGCTGCACTACACTTTATTGTTAGATCCATGCTTAGAATGAACACATTTATAATAAGGTTCCAAGATCCCTCCACCTATTGAGAGGCTGGTAATTCTTTTAGATGTTAATTAATCTATTTTTTTTTAAATGAAGATGACTTTTAGCATTTTCTTCTTTCCTATAAAGATTCATCAAGATATCAGACATAGGTTCCAAAGTCAACAAAAATAAAGAACTTGTGAAATTTTCTGCTGCTGTATGATACAACTGCTGTGGTATTTTGATAAATATTAACAGAAAATGTGAAACTTTGAAATATGTTTCCTTACCAAGGGAACAATGAATAATAATGAAACCAGGGAATGAGGACTAGAAGCACCAGGTGCCCCCGCCTCCCATCCACTGCAGGGAAGGACTCTCTTCCAAATCCACCCTGAAAAGTGAGTGGCTGTTGGGAAACTAAAAAATGTACTTAAGAGATCTCAAATATATGGTGACACATGGAATTCTTCAACCTGCCATGCCTCTTGAGAAGTTCTCAGGTAAATAACAAGAATGATGCCCACAATACATTCACATACATAAAAAAAATGTCCTGGAAAGAAAAAGAGGATGGGAGAAGAAGTTAATGATTCTTGGGGCTTTTTAAAAAAATTGTGTTCGGCTGGGTGTGGTGGCTCACACCTGTAATCCCAACACTTTGGGAGGCCGAGGCAGGTGGATCACCTGAGGTCAGGAATTTGAGACCAGCCTGACCACCATGGAGAAACCCCATCTCTACCAAAAATACAAAATTAGCCGGGTGTGGTGGCGCATGGCTGTAATCCCAGCTACTCAAGAGGCTGAGGCAGGAGAATCACTTGAACCCAGGAGGCAGAGGTTGCAGTGAGCCTAGATCGTGCCATTGCATTCCAGCAACCTGGGCAACAAGAGCAAAACTCCGTCTCAAGAAAAAAAAAATTGTGTTTAAAGTTTCAAGTTAATTTTTTTTAAGTCACCATAGCTCATATGGCCTTGGTATGAGTTGATGGGTCAAACCCATAGCTTCTCTGGCTACTCAGGAAATTAGTAAAGGAGGGCAAGGAAAGGCACAATATGGAAGAGAGAAATTACTAGACAAGAATCAGCAATCTGGAGCGAACCCAATCTAAAGGAAACAATTAGAAACTGGCACAGGTCCCAAATCAATAAGCAGAGGTGACTGTGGGCAGTGAGCATAATGGCTGGGTAATGAAAACTAAAATGCAGGTAAGCAAGCGCTGGGAAAGGAGCAGCTGATGACAGGGTCATCTGTCCAGAGGCTTGAAGAGACCTGTCTGAACAGGCTCTCACAGCCCAGCTAGTCCCTGATGTCACAGCCTGTGTGAATAAACAGCACTGGTGTGGTATCCCCAAACTTCATAAGAAATGAAGTCTTCATGGCTCACCTTGTCAAGGCCAGAGAACAATCCCAACAGGAAAAACACTTCTTACAGATTATGCAGTGGATTCAAAGAGCACTGGAACTGTATTTCCCATTAGCTCTAATGGAGGTTGTGCTAATAAATTCCCCAGCTCTGGGCTGAACAGGTGTAATTCAGTAATGTAGCTATAATTGAGTGATGTCAACTCAATATAATTTGTAATGTTTTTGTAACAAATTATCTCTTTTTTTTTCCAGAAAAAAAGGCATCTGTGATTCCATATGATAAATTACTTTAAAAGGGTGACATACAGTGCTAATGATAAAGATCTTTAATTGATAGAAATGTTAATAGTAGCATCAGCTAAGAATTATCTTTGCTGATTCTTTATACACAGTAACATTTTAAACATAACAAGCTTTCGTTTTTGACCAACCAATGTTTTTGATTTGTGACTCATGGTTTTCAGATATTTCTGTATTTCATCAATATAACTATTCTACTAGAGAGGTTCTGTATAAACCCTGCAATTTAGCCATTCCCTTCCCTGCACAGTTCCCAAGCCAGATCTAGACATTTCTACCTCTGTGCCTAAGAGAACACTGGTCTCCTGGTCTGGATGGACAGCTGTCTCCTCCTCTTCCATGTACCTAAGAATGACCTGTTGGCCCAGTCAAAACCCTCCTTCTATGAAGCTTTCCAGACCTATAGCCAGGATTACTCTTTCACACCCTATACCCCTGGGACACTTTGGGGTCCCTCTATTACATTCTTACTTTTCAGACCCCCTTGTACATGCTATTCCTCTGCTGCTCTCCCTGGTTAGGGCCCACTCATCCTTGGGGTTTCAGTTCAACGTTATACCTCAAGGAGAACCTTCCCTGCTTTGGAACAGGGCACATTACACGTGCATTTGCATACCTCTGCATTCCTTTCCTTTGTTGCACTAACCACAGTTGTTGTTAGTATCTTTTGTTTGTTTGTTTGTTTGTTTTTCAGGAAAAAAAGGCATCTGTGATGCGTCTCTTTTCCACTAGGGCTAGGCTTTAGACAAGGTCTGTGTTGAGTTTTCCTAAATCTAGTAGCAAGGACATGATGCTCCATATCTGAAGAAAGAATGCATGGATGAATGAATGAACAAACACTATCTCTGTCTGTCTCTCCCTACCTCTATCTGTCCTCTCCACTAAACTTGAACTCAAAGGTAATACAGTGCTCATTGTAGCCACAATAATGCCTAATTAGGGTCTCGTCCATAATAGAGATGAGAAAAACTCAGTTGAAATAAATTTAATTTCTCCTACTGTAGTGTTAACATCAGGTTAGTCATAGAGAATTCAGTTCCCAAAGCTTATAGTGTTTTTCACCATATGCTATCCACTGACCCTCATCAAGCTCCAACCACGTGCTAGCCCCTCTGCAAGATACTGTGGAAGAGAAGTGAATGATATTTAGAACCAAGTACTCTACAGTTTCTGGGTGATTCCCATGTATAACCACATTTCTGCATTCATGCCAGATACTGGGGGAATTCAAGGTTAATCAAACACAGATGGTGTCCTCAAGGAGCTCAGGATCTGGGAGAAGAGATAAAAGTGAAGAAAAAATATCATGAGGTGGAATCCATGAGTGACATAAAAGGAGTCCCAATACAGATTCTAGGTGTTCTAATGAGGGACAGAGAGAATGTAGGCTTAAGTGGGGGTATTTTTTTTAAGTTTTATTTTTAATTTTTGTGGATACATAGTGTATATATTTATGGGTTGCATGAGATATTTTGATATAGGCATGCAATGTGTAATAATCACATCAGGGTACGGTCTCCATCATCTCAAGCATTTATCCTTTGTGTTACAAATAATTAAACTCTTTTAGTTATTATCCTAAAATGCACAGATAAATTGTTTTTCACTCTAGTCACCCTGTTGTGTTAGAAAATACTAAGTCTTATTTATTCTTTCTTACTATTTTTTGTATCCATTAATCTTTCAGTGGGGACAGTTTTTAAAATGAGTCTTTACCTGTTGGGTGGGATGGCTCACGCCTGTAATCCCAGCTCTCAGGGAGGCAGAGGCGGGAGGATAGCTTGAGCCCAGGAGTTTCAGACCTGCCTGGGCAATATAGCAAGACACCATGCTCCACAAAAAGGGAAAAAAATGAGTCTTTACCCAGGTGAAGATTGGGATTAGGGACCCAGCCAAAAGGAAGCGAGGTTGAAGAGCAAGAGTGTTTATTCCTTGGTTCAATAGATCTTTGTCACCTACTGTGTGAGGCATAAATAAACCTAAGTCCATTCTCAATGCAGCTTACATTCTAATTGTGGAGACAGGTGAAAGCAAACAAACAACAATGCCAGGTTATAATGAGTGCTCTGAAAAAACAGGGCAGAGTAAGAAGCGAAGCTGATGAGAGTGCTACCCCAGACAAGGTGGTCAGGGGAGGCCTTCCCATGTCAATGACACTGAACAATGACTTGAATGAAGCGAAAGAGTGAGCCATGTAACACGCCTTGGGAAGTGCATTCCCAACAGAGAACAGCAATCCTCTCCACAGAGGAAGGACAGATGACCCACACCTTTTTCAAACTGGGGTCTCTGAGCATGTTCTTAGGGATCTGAATGTTCTTGATGAGACTTTTTATTTTTGGTTTTATTTAGATAATACTCACTTAAAATAGTTCAAGTGTATTCTGCATCAGCTACATAGCACCTAAAATACGGGTACCAGCACAAAAGTTTTGTGACTCCTTTATGTTTGCATTTATAATTGTGGTGGTATCAGGTATTGCTGTTTTAGCTGTCACAAGCAAAAGATAAAAAAAACAAACTTACTACTTAAATAATGTGTTTGTGCCTCATGATCTCAGAGTAGGGGTGGAGTACATATGAATTGTCCCAGTAATAGCAGCTGGAAGTGTTAGGGAAATTGAGTCATCACACAGCCTAGGCTAACACAAACATGACAAGCTGTGTAGAACCTTTGACATAACAGACATCCCGTATTGATGTTTCCAGAGATGATTCTGTTTAAACAAATAATATCATTCATCTTGTTAATGCAATATTCCTCATTTGAATTTAGTTTTGTCATTTTGATTGCATGTAATTTGTAAACGTGTTATGGTTTCATATTTGTCTAAGAACCACACAAAGAAATTCATACCTACTTTTGTATTTTCATGTGGTTCAATAATCCAATAACAAAAACATTAAGTTAACATTGGGGGTTCATAAGACTTTTTTTTCCCTTGGAATGGCATCCATATGTTACTCAAGGTTGGTCACAGTGAAAGCTGGTGGTGGAAAAGGCCTTTGTTTTCCAGAACCATGACCAGGTGATAGCTCTGGATGGTTTCCAATGAAACACACAGTAAGTACAGGAAAGAAGGGAGATGAATATCTTTGGTAGGAAAAAAAAAATCACAAATCAGATATACCTAATGACTGTAACTTTTATTATTCTCTGAACACCAAGGAACGTAAAGGCCATAAATTATGTTACATGTTGGTTAATTCTCCTTCAGAACACCCAGGCCATTGGAACATTAAATGTGGAAAGTATGTGGCGGGGGAGAGAGGGTGAAGAAGCTATAATGAAAGGTTCACTGCACTCGGGTGGCAGATTAAACACAGAGCCAGATGAGGAGTCAAGCGTCACTAAAAATGCAAAACAAATCCAGCTAAATTATTTCACCTGCAAGGAAAAGTTTTTCTCACAACACAACACTGTTCTATGCCAACAAATGTAAACAAGAGCTAAGACGACTATCTGAAAAGCTCAGGCAGTTGGTGAGGAAGGCTCCTTGGGTCACAGAACCCTCCAAAACTTCTCACTGTAGCAGCTGAGAGCTGGCATCTGAAATCAAACTGGGTAGAGTTCAAGAATCACCTCTAACAGAGATTAGCTCTGAGACCTAGCAAGTTCTTTAATATCACAGAAAAAAAAAAGACAAAACAACACCTACATTACAAAGTTGTTGAAAGGATTCACTGAGATAATCCTCATAGACCACTTAGAACACTGCCTGGCACGTAATAAGTTCTCCATAAACGTGAGCCATGAGTTTTATGATGCTATAGGTCTATGATTATATAAGCATGAGTCTCCACATATGGCACAACAAACTGCTCTACTCAACTCTACAGCCCTGGATGATGTCTCCACATTTTACATATTCCATGATAGTTTCCAATAATTTATATACATGTAAAGTATATTTGAGATGGTCGGTAAGATAACATCATTCTCATTCATTCCCCTCCCCAATATAGTTCCTAAGGAGGAAAGATATGAATAGTGCTATGGTTTGGATTTGTGTCCACGCCTAAATCTCATGTCAAATTGTAATCTTCAGTGTTGGAGGAGGGGCCTGGTGGGATGTGACTGAATCATGGAGGCAGACTTCCTCCTTGCTGTTCTCGCAATAATGAGTGAGATCTGGTTGTTTAAAAGTGTGCAGCACTTCCCCCTTTAGTCTCTTTCTCCTGCTCCCACCATGTAAGAGGTGCCTCCTTCCTCTTCACCTTCTACCTGAGGCCTCTCCAGCCATGCTTCCTCTACAGCCTGTGGAATGTGAGTCAATTAAACCTCTTTTCTTTATAAATTTCTCAGTTTCAGGTAGTTCTTTATAGCAATGCAAGAACGGACTAATGCAGATGGGTCTACAGAAAGAGCATAACCCAACAACCTTACATGGTAGGTACCATTATTGTCCCTATTTTACAAATAAACAATGTCCAGAGAAGAGGATGGACTTGCTCAAGGTCATACAGCTCATAAATGATGCAGCCAGGATTTGAGGTCAAGTAGTCCCAGTCTAGAATCTACCTTCTTAATCACCACAAGACTCTACTCCTCCAAACAAGTGTCCTTCCTCTGTGTCCAGTAAAGAGGAACTCTGGGAACTGCTGGTCACATAATTGTTTATTCCTCCAGGTTCCCCAATGTCTGGCCCTAGAAAATGAGGATGTTTCACTCCCAACTAAGCATTTCCCTAAGCTACTATTTGTTATGCTGTTAGCTAAGATAGAAAGTCAATTTTAAAATCGTCCATTTGAACAGTTATAGTAACTTTCGTAAATGGTAAATGAAACAATTTGAAAACACTGTCCAACATTTTACACAGTATCCCATCGACCACAGCTAACTAAAGTAATTCACATGTGAATTTTATTCTCAAAAAAAGTGTATGCTTTGCTTTTGACAGATAATGAAAGCCATTTAATTCAATGTGGCTTTTTTTCTTTGCTTTTTCCTTTTTTTTTTTTTTTTTTTTTTTGCCAGAAAGCAGTGAGATAAATTGAATACCCATAAACTGAAGAAAATCTGTTAATTTGGGGTGTCTGGTTACACCTATTCTTGTGCTTTTTTAAAAGAGAGTCTGCCAAAGTTTATTCTCTTCTTAAATTACCTCATCTGAGCAGTATTTTCATTTGTAAATAATGGCCACATATTCTCTTTAAAGTAGGAGGAAATGGAGACCTTAAGTGTTTCAAGGAAACTTCAGGTCCCTCAAACCTCCTTCAAAGAAAACAACTGATGATTGTCTTTGAGGCAAGGAGACACTAGTCATCAGGCCATCAAGGGCAGGGAACAACCTGAACACTTTGCAGCTCTGCACTACAGGTCCTCAACGTCGTTCTTGCATTAGCCCATTCTTGCATTGCTATAAAGTTCATTCAATGCCATCTGGTTATAACACCGACAGAAAATAAATTGATTCCCAGTGGGGCCCCTGTCTATGTAGGGTCTGAACATTCTCCCCATGCTTGCATGAGTTTTCTCTGGGCAGTCAAGTTTTCTCCCACATCCCAAAGATGAGCATGGTAGGTGAACCGGCATGTCTACATGGTCCCCATCTTAGTGAGTATGAGTGTGTGTGTGTAGGTGTGTAGGTGAGTGGGTCCTGCAATGGGATGATGTCCTGTCCAGGGTGAGTTCCCACCTTGCACCCTGAGCTGCTGGGACATGCTGCAGCCATCCGAGACCCTCAACTGGAATATAAATAATTATCTTACCTGTTTTTATTACTCTTTCTTAAATGTGTATATAGTTCGCATAGATTTCAATGTAAAATATTCAAAGTGTTTTGGTCTATTTAGAAGTTTGATGGTATAGTTGTGACCAGAAATATGCCATAGGAACTTAACTCTTATTTATATCAATTAGTCTATGGTGAAATTGGTTATATGTTGCTTTGCTTTATGTCCCAGTTTCCAGGAACCTATCAATGACATTAAGTAAGGACTTACTGTACTTTACTATAGCTGAACAGGCTGCCACCCAAAACCATAATGAGCTACTATGACGACAGTCAATCAGGAGACATATCTGTGTTTCAGAGAAGAAAGCCAGCAGCTTTCTGGGAAAAAGCACAGAGGGAAACTCCCCTAAGCTGGAGCTATTTCCTAGCAGTAACTTGCTGCTGCAGTTTAGCCCTGTCATCTGTGTGTACTCCTCATTAAGTACCACATTATGGGCCATCATATCTTCTCCAGCTGCAAGTAAAGGCAATGTCCTGGAATTGCCCTATGGCCCAAATGTGTGACTAATGACTGAGACTTTGGCTTCTTGCTTGATGTTTGGCCTTCAGTATTACATGAACCTGCTCTGAAAGACACAACACTGTCACAGATGTATGCGGACAGATTAAGCTCCAGATGGAAGGCTGTCAATGTCAATCAGTCACTGTTCTTACAGCCTGGCTGGCTTTTCATCTAAGCAACCACAGAGCATGATCCTGCAGCACTCAGTTCCTTAGCTCAATTAAGTCTTAGGATTGGAGGTCAAGTTACCCTGGTTTCCTAAGCATTCTCTACCAAATGATTGTTTTTGCCTCACTCCTACTGATTCATTTATAGTAGCTTCTTTTGATGCATTCATCCTTGAGCATGTCTTCCCATTTCCAAGTGACTTGTTTCACTATTCTGCAGAATGTTCCAGCCCTTTGATGAACTATATATAATTGTCGAATCAGCTGTCCCACAAAGAGATAAAATCTGAATTAAATACAGGACTTGTTGTCAGGAGAGAACAGATAAGGTGAAGAATTAGAAGACTAGCTGGGAAGAAGTGAGATGATTGAAGTTTATGAAACATTTTCCCCCCTCCTTTGAGTCTCCCAATCTGCTAGTTTCAGTCGGTTGGTTTTGTGTTCCTGTTGTGATATATGTTTAGTTCAAGGCTGTGGACTTTGTGCCTTGGTTACAGGTAAGTGCCTCTGTGTTTCTCATCTTTATCTATCCAGTCACTTGTCTCCTCTCAAAGTTTCACTTTTTAAATATATATATGTTATTTAATATCAAAAGAATATCTTCACCTTTCATAAATTGCTAACCCTAGACTCTGGATGCCTAGGGTAAATTTTTAATTCTATTTTATTTATTTTAATTAAATTTAAATTAAAATTTGTTTTAATTAAATTTAAATTAAATATCTAATTCTACTTTTATTTATTTATTTAATTCTATTTTTAAGTCTATGGACTTGCTTGAACACACAGCTCAGCAATGATGCAGGCAGGATTCAAGTCCAGGCAAATCATGGCTCTAGAGCTTGTGTTCTTAACTTCCACATGACATTGTCCCTCGGGAGGAATATTGTAACTCCCTACGTTTCCATTCCAAACTCTCAAATATAAAATGATAATTACAAGGTACACGTTATTGCAAAACATGTATAAAAGCATATAAATCAAAGATTACATTTTGCCTCCTCTTCTTTTTCCCATCCCTCTACCCTCATATCCACACAATTTCATTCCCTGAGGGAGCCTATATTAATAATTTGGCATGTACATTTTTGCATACAGACATATATTTTTCTAAGTTTCTATAATACATACTGTTCTGTCACATGTTTGACATCTTTTCATGTCAATTCATAGAGATGCTTGTTAATGGCTGCAGAGTAATTTCAATGTATAGACATATAATACTATATATAATACTATATTGAACCTCTTTAGCTACTTGGTCAAATATATCTACAGAATACGTTACTAGACATTTCAAGGAATTTCTATGTCAAAATATTTCAAATAGTTAATAGTTCCAAACTTCCCAATCCAAGTATAATATTTTTATTTATATCCACAACAGGGTATCCCCCTGATTTTGCCCATAGTGCTTATTATCCTAACCAACTGATTGATATTTTTAGTTTAATTATTTAAAAAATGAGGTTATAATGAGGTCCCTAAGAGTCCCTTAACCTAATTTACTAGGATCTACTTTATCTGGAGAGTAAAATAAAGCAACTACCCAATCTCAAAATATCCTTTTGCCCCTCCCAAATGACTCTTCTGGAATCATTTATATGCTGACCTCCATATAATTTATTGGATTTATACGATCTTATATCTCTAGATTGAGTTACAAATGGATGAATCTCTTGAAACCTAGACCAAAAAATAAGAATAGAATAAAAAAAGAGTTTTTGGTATGGAAACTGTGACTCTCCAACGTCAGTAGAGACATTGAGAATGGTTTCCCATGTCCCCAGGCATAAACTAAAATATCCACTGCTTTTGGACAGTATAAATGCAGAATATGCCCCCAGATGAATAGAAATGAGCAAATCTTGAGTGCAGAACTGAATTTCTTGGAGCTGTATTGGTTACCTGGAGCCATGAATTAAGTGGATCTGATTCTATCTCTTAAAGGAACAGAAAAAAAATTATTCCAGGTGATTACTGCTCCTCAAGCATGTGGTCACTCAAAGGACCTTCTTCTAGCTCCACGGGATACATAGTTGCTATTCATCAGCTCTGCTCACTGAAGATGCTGTGCTACGCATTCCAAATGGCGCCTTGGAGGACTAACTGATATCATTAACACAGACTCGTAGAGATGTCATCATTTTCTTCTTCATCATCTTCGTCAAGATTAGTTTTAAGTGTTGGGAGTCCGAGGTGGGTGGATCACGAGGTCAGGAGATCGAGACCATCCTGGCTAATATGGTGAAACCTGGTCTCTACTAAAAATACAAAAAATTAGCCGGGTGTGGTGGGTGCCTGTAGTCCCAGCTACTCGGGAGGCTGAGGCAGGAGAATGGTGTAAACCCGGGAGGCAGAGCTTGCAATGAGCTGAGACCGCGCCACTGCACTCCAGCCTGAGCGACAGAGCGAGACTCTGTCTCAAAAAAAAAAAAGATTAGTTTTAAGTGAACCATGTACTAGTTCTCAAATCAACCACATCGGGTAGGTTCCATTATTATTTAATTCTGCAGATGTGAATACAAGGCCACAAGTTCGTAAGTGATACTGCCGGGGCTCAAACCACTTATGTATTATGTCAAAAGCCATGCTCTTAACCATTGCACTATACTCCCTTCTACAGGCATAAAATTTTAAAAATATATACCAGAAGAGCAAAACAATCCCAAGTATGGGAAGGATGAAAGAGAAGGGTGGCAGTTGGCACAGTGGAGCATAATGGGCCAGTCTGACTGTAAGACTCCTGTTTCATAATGTCTGCATGTCACTAAAAAGGATCTAGACCAAGGTTCACAAACACAAATGAATATGGGGGCCAGGACGTTAACATACATGAGTAAAGAGGACCAAGTGCATGACAGAAAGAGTGGTGAAGAACGTGGTAAACTGAAACACATGCCTCAAGGGAAGAAGGCAATACTCTCATGTGTGTATGTGGTTCAAATGTTGCCAAATCTATGAATTTTTTTAACAGAAGAAAAAAAATCCAATTTTAATGCAAAATGTTTCTATTTCCAAATTATGATTTCAATGTCATGTTTAAAAACACTTTGACGATGACTTAGTTCCCTCTGACCTCCACACATAAGCATTAACATGGACAGAAGTATAGCAGCAGTGTGAGGTGCTTTTCCAGCAGCCATCAGTCCTTCATCCTTGCTAACATACCTTGATCTTTCTCAGGTACCTGCAGGTGGTAGTGTGTCCAGGGAAGATAGGCCTTACTCTCAGCATAAGAGGCTGAAACGTACTGGTCTCAGCCAGTGAAGGTAACTGAATACTTCATTGACATTGACTGGTCTGGGATGGGATGCATGTGTGACTCAGTTCTAGCCAAAGAGAAATCGAAAGATATCTGCTAAGAGACTTTAAGGAAAGATTTTCTTTCCTGAAATGGAAAGAGAGAGAGAGGCCCACCACGAGATGGCCCTTTTTGCTCCCTTCCCTCCTATCCTGTGTTGAATGCTAATCCAGGACACTGTGGTGTTGAAAGCTCTGGCAGCCATTTTGTGGCATGAGGTAACAAGTCTAAGGATTAAGGCCAATACACCGCCAATGGTGGAATGAAAGCATGAAAGGAGCTTGGATCCTTGTTTAGCAGCCAAATCAACACTGAGACTACTTAATTTGAGGTTTCTTATATAGGAAACAGTAAATCTCCTTGTGATTTATGGTACTATTAGTTGGGTGTTCTGTTACTTCATACTGAATACATTCTAATGAAGGATCTCACTTTCAACCTTACTTCAGAGTTCTAGCTTTTTGTTTACAGCATCCTTCATGCAGGAAAACTTCAAGTTTACACAGAGTGTGCAACTAGATGTGAGATAAGGCTCTGCCACTTGAGAACGCCCACACGCTGCTTCAAAAATTTAAATTATGCTGTTAGCTTTTCAAGATGGATGAAATCCTTCATAGGATCATATAGCAAGGACTAAATTGCTCTCACAGTTGCCAGGCAACTGTGTATATGCTGCCTAGAGACAAAAATTCATGACCCTTGACTCCCCAAAGGAGAGTCTTTACCCACAACTGATATGCATGTGCCCAAGTCTAACACTTCCATCCAGCAAAGGTCATGGTGTACATCTGGGCTATCCAACATCCCAAGCTCATTATACTGCCAACTTATATCATTCTTGATCACACCATAAATTATGATTTCTGCATGCAAATCCAAATGACAGAGCAGAGAGTGTCCTGGGGCATAATTCCCTGTCCTTTGGCCTGTCTTATTATATAGACTGATTGGGTACCATCCAGGCAAACAAAAAAAAGACACATGAAGATTCCTATTAGCCTGAAGAATCACTGTCAGGTAAACAGAGTTTTGTAAACAGCTTCCAATATTCAAGGAAAGTTTGAGTTTTCACAGTGAGTAATGTGATCAACTTTAATAATGTCTCAAGGGGCTTCTATCTCACGAGTCATTTTCAACACACACACACACACACACACACACATACACACACAGGCTAAGATGTGCTCATCATTCTATTAGAAAGGAAATCTCAAAATGCAAATATAGATGGTGTGTTCACATTTACATTTCATAATGATCTAAGTGTTTTGTTTTTGCATGTGAATTTCATAATACTTTAAATCATAGAATCATGGAATATAAAAATCAAAAGTGACCCTGAGATCAAGAAGGTCCAATCCAAGAGAAATTAAATGGCACAGCTGCTTAGGGGTGAACACTGAATCCAAGTTGCTGGACTCTCAGTCTACTGCGCTTCCCCAAAACTAACATGCTTGTCCCTCAGGCAGTCAACCCTTAATCATTGTGATGATAAACATCAGGGACAACTTAATTTCAACTTGACAATAAATCAAACTCTCCATGTAGCCATTAGTTGCTGTACTAGTCAGAAAAAGGTTAAGTTGAATGTGAACCACTCTTTCACTACCTCCCACCTCAAAAAAAAAAAAAAATGAACGGAAGCTTGAATATACAAGCTTTTATTCTCTCATTTAACAAGTTTGGAGATCAGTAGTCTAGTGCTGACATGGCAGTTCTACAGACCCATTACAGACCTAGATGCCTTCAACTTACTGTATCTCCATTCCTAGAGGGTGACTGTCTTAGTCTGCTTTGTGCCGCTATAACAGGACCTGAGACTAGGTAATTTATAAACAACAGAGATTTATTAGCTTACAATTCTGGAGTCTGGGAAGCCCAAGATCAAGGGCCCACATCTTGTGAAAGACTTCTTGCTGTGTTACACATGTAATAAGGCACCACATGATGAGAAACAGCACGCAAAGGAGCAAGAAGTGACTAAACTCACTTGGATAACAAACCCACTCTTGCAATAGTGAACCCATTAACATAATAATGACATTAATTTATTCACGGGGGTAGATCCCCCATGCCCTAATCACCTCTTAAACAACCCACTTCTCAACACTGTTGCATTGAGGAATTAAGTTTCCAAAACATAAACTCTGGGGGACACATTCAAAACACAGCATTCATCTTCTTAACATAGCCAAAAAGGCCGGGCATGGTGGCTCACACCTATAACCTCAGCACTTTGGGAGGCCAAGGTGGGTGGATCATCTGAGGTCAGGAGTTTGAAACCAGTCTGACCAACATAGTGAAACCCCATCTCTACTAAAAATACAAAAAATTAGCCTTGCGTAGTGACATACACCTGTAGTCCCAGCTACTCAGGAAGCTGAGGCAGGAGAATTGCTTGAACCTAGGAGGCAAAGGTTGCAGTGAGCAGAGATTGTGCCATTTGACTCCAGCCTGGGCAAGAAGAGCAAAGCTCTGTCTCAAAAAAACAAAAACAAACAAACAAGAAAACAGCAAAAAGTATTAATGAGCCGTTATGTCTGCACCCCAGTTGGCAGCAAGGAGGAAGCTGTAATGCATCTTCTCTTTAAGAATTCTCCTAGTTAGTGTACCCCTGAAAGCAAAGCCTAAGACAAGGACCAAGGGCATAGGTTTGGGTAGATTATTTGGATGGTGATCTCAGAAAATTTGAAAGAAAGAGATGAGACAGTAAACACTGGAAGGAAAAAGGAAACAGCATGTGTTATCAACACCTGGGGTGCTATGTGAGGAGCTGTGTGGAATGTACCCACAACTGTCCATCTGATAGAAGGCTGTGGCAACCCACCAATTGGTTAAGCATTGCCTGTAGTGCTGTTACTTCCCCGGCTATGCTTGTGCGTGGGCTGGGAAGCCTTCTTTTGGTTTTGAGTAAGGCCTAAACCAGAATAGTAGATGTACAGCACAGCAGAACTTGAGGACCCTGGCAGCACATGACAGCATCTGCCACAGCTGCAATGAAATTAGGTGGGGATAGGGAATGTGGCACTGTGCACCTGCTACAAGAAAATGTCCAGAAAGTTGCTCATAAAGTTTCTTATTATCTCTATGCATCAGGAGTCCCCAAGACAATCCTTAGACTCAATGATTCACTAAAAGACTCCCAGAACCCAGAAAAACTATGTACTCATGGTGATGGTTTGTTACAGAGAAAGGACACAGATTAAAATCAGCAAAGTAAAAAGGTATATAGGAAAGAATCCAGGAGAAAACAGGCACAAGTTTACAGTGTCCTCTACCAGTAAAATCACACAGCTGGTTCTTAATTGTCCCAGCAACTATGTATGACAACATGTATAAAGTATTGCCAACCCAAGAAGCTCACCTGAGCCTTGGTGTCCATGATTTTTATTGGGGGTCAGCCACATAGACATGGACTTCCCACACGAATGACCTTAATTACCCAGTCTCCAGTCCCCCCAGAGGTCAAATTGATACAACATAGCCCAGGGCTTCAGGTGAACAGAAACAGCATTCACCAACAATCACATTGTCAGTATAAACTATCTGGCAAGACCCACAGTTTCAGGTATTCAAAGGCACTTTTCTCAGTTAGGGTGCTTCAAAAGCTCCAAGGTTATCTCTTTGGAGATGGTCAAGGGCCAGTCTTTTATTTGGTATCTGCAGAATTTGAACACCCCAAGCCTTGAGTTAACCCTTTACTGAACAACCTGTTTGGTCAGAACTTAGTCAAATGGCCATAACCACCTGCAACAAAAGTAAGAAATGCAGTCTTTGTTCTGGGCAGCTATATTCCTACTCAATATTTGGGAATTCTATTATTGTATAATGGTGGTTCTCAAACTTCAGCACATCAGAATCACCTGGAGAATTCATTAAAATAGACTGCACAACCCCCTCCTCAGAGTTTCTGATTAAGTAAGTGTAGGGTGAGGCCTGAGAATTTGCATTTCAGTAATTTACCAGGTGTATTACTATCCGAATAAAGCCAGAACAAATTTACACAAACTTTGGGCTTAAAACAACACAAATTCATTATCTTACTATTCTGTGGGTCAGAAGTCTGACACAACTCGCACCAAGCTCAAATCAAGGTGTAAGCAGACTCCTTTCTGCAGTCTCTAAGGAAGAATGTTTCCTTGCTCATTCCGGTTGTTGGCAGAATGCAGTTCTGAAGTCCTGTTTCCTTATTGCCTGTCAGCTGAAGATCATTCTGAATTTCTAAAGGCCTTCCACATTTGTTAGGAGGTTGACCCCTCCTTCCATCATCAAGTCAGCAATGAGGGGTTGGGTTCTTTTCATGCTTTGAATCTCACCTGCCTCCTCTATCGCCATATCTTTCTGATTGCAGCCTGAAAAGGTTCTCTGATTTTTAGAGCTCATTTGACTAGACTGGGCCCACCCAGGTATTCAGGAGAATCCCCCCATCTCATGGTCTGTAATCTTAGTCACATATGCAAAGTCTGTTTTGCCAGGTAAGATAGTATATTCACAGGTTCTGGAGATTAGGGTGTAGATATCTTTGGGGGGAGGGCGCATGATTCTACCTACCACACCAGTCAGTTCACTCTGATTCTGTGGTTAGGGAACACACTTTGAGAACCACCAATATAGAAAATAAGAGAACCAGAAGACTCTTCCACAATGTAGCCTTATTTTACATTGTTGGAAAGTCAATGAAAGCTTTTAACAAACTGGTTGACTGCAGCTTTACCTCTTCAGTGGGCCCCTTTCCTACTCAAAAAGTAATGAGAAAAAGGCAGCAAGGGGGACCAGAGAATAGAGAAACAAAAACTGAAATCACTCCCTGACTAGATTAATCAGCTCTTGCATACTCTGGCCATTTATCAGATATATTCAGTGAAATTCTTGGTTGAGAGAAAGAGGGAGAAAACACAAGCCAATCCTGAATCAAAATTAATAGAGAATTCTACTAGAATTCAACAGGTTTTTCTTTTTTATTTTTTAATGGCAAGATCCCTGAAGGCCTTTAAAATACGAATGTCTGCTTTAAATCTCCAAGAAGGAGGGCAGAGTTCTTGAAAATGATAGCCATGGTTTTTTTCGTGGCACATATAATGGAATTGGGCTGCCTGGAAAAATGCTTGAGTAAAGGTTGCTCCACAAGGGGAAAGGTGGTAACTCAATGCACCTTCACTTTCTAGGTTGGTGCTTCTCAATTTGGCTGCATATTGAAATCATCTTAGGAGCTTTAAAAAGCGCTGATGTCTAGGTCACACACCCCAGTGATTCTGAAGCAATTGCTCTGGGGCATGTCTTGGGCATTGTGCTTTTCCCCCAACATCTCGCAGATGATTCTAACGTGTAGCCATGATTAAGGACTGTTATGGTAGGTGATAACCCTGTTTTCCTGAGTCTATTAGCATATGTAGTTACTAACCAGAGTCAGTAAACTAGGTATTGTTCTCTGTATTTTAATTCCTGCCCAACCAAATTAAGGAAGTAATTTCAAAAATTAAAAGAGAAGAGATAATCTAGAGTGGCAGGCAGTACTAACCAACTCCACATTCAAGAATAGCATCCTTTCTTAACCAGCATTGCGTGATTTTAAACTCTTCGTATCCCCAGAATTTAGCACAGTGCCCCACACATAGTATATGTTCAGGAAGAACTGTGGTAAATGATAAAGAATTATGAACAAAGTCCTCTTCAAAATGAAGATTGCAGGAGAATCAAGCTTCAGTCAGATCTAAGTGCACACTACTCTAGTGAGATAAGCCAATCAGATAAGCAGGATGGGGAACCACCATTTTGGTTTTGTTGTTGTTGTCATTGTTGTTTTTGAGACAGAGTCTCACCTAGGCTGGAATGCAGTGGTGCGATCTCGGCTCACTGCAATCTCCGCCTGCAGGTTCAGCTGATTCTCCTGCTTCAGCCTTCTGAGTAGCACGCCTGGCTGGCTAATTTGTGTATATTTTTAGTAGAGACGGGGTTTCACCATGTTGGCCAGGCTGGTCTCAAACTCCTGACCTCAAATGATCCACTCAACTCGGCTTCCCAAAGTGCTGAGATTACAGGCATGAGCCGTCGTTCCTGACCAGGAACCACCATTTTGATTGGCATGGTACCAGGTACACAGAATTTAGCCAATAAACTATTTGATGTGTGAAAGAATGAATAAATTTTGGCATTAAAAGGCAGGCTTCGGTATGTCAGAGCAAGAGGTAATTGGATGAGGACCAGAGGATGGAGCCCAGAGCAGGAAATGAAGCTCAGAGAAGAGGTAGATGTTCAACGTACTGTGTCTCCTCCTCCAGTTTTGAGTAGGTCACTGAAAACACTTGGCATGGCAGTGAAAATCACTCAAAAGACCCCCGTGGAAATGGACAGACTTGTGTGGAAATTTGCAGATCTTGGCTGCTTCTAATTCATTTGTCTTTCTAACCTATTAGAATCCAATTCAGTCTCTTTGGCTCTACCCAGGATAATGCAAAACTGAATTGTACACATAAGCTTCCTGCCTTCTGCTCCTTCTCTTCATAACCAATATGTTGCTAAACAACAATTTCTAATTGCCCCTTCCCAGGACACCTTTTGAGAGCATCTCTCTTTGTACCCCCTGAAATACATAA
This sequence comes from Homo sapiens, assembly GCF_000001405.40. Classification (NCBI taxonomy): domain Eukaryota; kingdom Metazoa; phylum Chordata; class Mammalia; order Primates; family Hominidae; genus Homo; species Homo sapiens. Next base: position 61,070,727 of record NC_000003.12, read on the forward strand.
TACTAATTTTCTTTGACATGCTATATATTTTGAGGATCCATGCATCCCTAACAAGTGCCCAGTCTTACGATGGTGCAGCCCCTCATCCAGTGTTCTATCATTTAATTCATGATGCTGTTTATCTTGGCTGCAAGAGAGTGAATTATTGGCATATTCAGACAGTCTCATACCACCTCTCGTCCTCTCCATTATCATAAAAGTTAAAATTATTTATTTATGAACCAAATAACTTGTCTGAATATTTTAACAATGCACGAGCACTTATGGAGGTTTTTATTTCAATTTGGGTAGAGATACAAAGTCAAATATGATTTCAGTACAAGTTGTGATGGTTTTTCTCAATATCTTATATGGGGTTCCATTTTTGCCTTGTACAATTAATACAAGAAGCATAATGAACTCAGCAATCCCCTTGAGAAATAACAAATAGGTATAAGCAATAATTTATCTGTGGAATGCAGGGCCTTGATACATAACTTCCATATCTACTCCAAAAGAAAAAGAAAAGAAAAAAAATTCCTAGCTAAGAGCCATGAAGAAAGAGTCCAAACACTCTCACACATTGTTGTTGGAAAGGTAGACTATACAACATACTTGGATTGCAATCTGGCAATATGCTTTGAATGTTCACAATTTTAAAACATATATTTCCTGACCCATTATTTCAAAGACTGTATCCTGATCCTGATGAAATAATAAAAGATGTGCCTAAAGATATATCATGTGTGGATGCTCATTTACAGTGTTACTTCCCATAAAGAGAAATAGGGAGAAACAAATAAGAAACCTTTCTAATATATTTTGTTATCTATAAAATGGATTGCTATGCAGTCATTAAAAATAATGTTCCTAAAAATTAGTTTATAGGAAAATGTATAAAAATGTACATGACATAAAGTTAAGTGGAACAGCAAGATATAAAACAGTCTATGCAGCCTATTTCCAATATGTTTATAATAAGTATTTCCATATATATTTCTACGTTGGCATATTATTCTACACAGAAAATGATCAGTACATATTTTTGAGTGTATAAGCAGGGTGTGTGTGTTTACAAAGACAAAGATGAAATACCCCAAAATATTAATAGTGGTTATGGCTAGATAGTGAAGTTATGGGGGATATTTATTCTTTGCCTTATGTTATCCTACATTTTCTAAATAGTCTCAATGCAAATGTTGTTTTTATAACTTATTACTGATTTGTGAGCTAAACAGACCCATTGACATTTTCCCTGGAATATTCTAGTGACACAATCACTCTCCTGTTAGATAGTCCCACCCCTCATGCCCCCTCATTTGGTCTCTTCCAAGATCCAGGACTTTAGAGCCAGAAACATTTGGATTCAAATCCCAGCTCTTTACTTTCTAGCTCTATGACCATGGGTAAGGTCATTCTCTCTGGGTGTTCTGGACCTTTGGGATAGAGTTGTTGGGAGAGTTAAATGAGGAGTGTTGCATTCCTATCCGATAGTTATTTCTCCCTCCCCTTCCTTTCTAATAGGATCTGACTTTGTGATTTTATTCAGGTATTGACTGCCCACAACCTATACCCAGGGACAAGAGGCTGGGGCCTACTCAGACCTAAGGCTTGAAGCTTAACTAGACTAGGACAAGCATGGTAACTTCATTCCCCTTGCAAGGGATCACTTCAGGGTATGGTTTGAAATTCTGGCCAATCACCAAGTGGGACAATTGTTGGAGGCCAGGGTCGTTCTGAAAAAGTTTTCTTCACATTTAAGAAAACAAAGGACACCCAGAAGGATGAGTATTCATTGCCGTTTCTGGCCTTCAGACACTGAGGATTTCTGGATGCACTATAGCCAAACTTGGACCATTAGAGGACAAGCCTGCAAAGAAAAGTAACACCTGAAAGAGGGGAGAAATAAAAGACAGAAAAAAACCTTGATACTTGATAATGTTGTTGCTGAATTCTGGCATGGCCCTATTTTTTTTATTTATATTTAAAATTTTTGTTTAAATCAGTTGAACTAGGATTTCTATTACTTTTATCTGAAAGGATCGTAAGTGATACAAAAAGCAAAAGTGCCAAGCTCATGACAGAGAGCAGAGTTCAACAAATAAAAAATAAAAAAAAGTCTTTTCTTTCTCTCACCTTCCAAATACATATTTAGTATACACAGTATATACTTGTTTATGGCTTGTAAATGTAGTTAATAGAGAAAGTAACAAGAAAGAAAGGGGTAAATGCACCTTTTCCTCCTCTTAAAACATGCACAACAGGACCCAATTTCTCTAATTTTTTTATAAAGGCCCCCAAAAACTATGGACAAAGACAAAGTTTTCCAAGGAAAGACATGTGCTGTAATGGATTATATCTTGCTAAAAATTCGAGGCCTTCTAAAAAAAACAAAATCTTGAACAACAAAGACCTCTTCCAATCCCTCCTCCCTGTAGGTCTTGAACAACTAGCCAGAGGCCCTGCTTTTGTAAGAGGTTCCCTAGATAGATCAGGATGGATGGAGTGTATGCTGTTAGATCAAAAGAAATCATTTGCTACTTGTATGCATGGACTACCTTAACTGTGAGTCTTAATCAAGTAATGGAGACTGACAGGCTTCTTGGCCTATAGGGGCCCTATAGTAATAAAGTGTGCACTTTTCTAAAAATGGTATTCATAAGAGTCAAGTGACTGGACAATTACTTTGTTTGATTCCACATCCCAGGCTGAACAACCTCCTCTTCCCATATTCTTCTGCGTCTGATCCTGATGGAGAAGAATAAGCCAGCCTGAGCTATGCTTAGATATTTTAAATTTTAGTGAAAAATAAAATATATGTTTTAAAGCCTGGAATATTATTTGTGATTTGGGTCTAAGGTCTAAAAAATATGGACAAGTGGGAATTCAAAAATCACCCTACCAGCACTGCAAAGAATTCGTGAGTATTCAAGCTTTAGGAGTTGGGTTTGTGCATTTTCCTTTTATAACTATTGCTAGCCATCCCAGAATGTTGCACTCAGTAAGAAGGGCTAACAGTGTCCTGCTGGCCCTATTCCTATGTGTCATCTTGCGGCATTTCCAGTTAATGGCATGACTGTAATGACTAGCAATTTAAATAATAGAGGCTGAAGCAGAGGCAGCTATAAGGACACAATGCAGAAATTGCCACAGTTTATCAACATCACTGGCACCCAGCTCTTCATTACCTCCTTGAATAGGGTCAAAGTAGTTAAAATGATGCTGTAAATACAGACTAAAACAAAGCAGCGGTTTATTCTTGATTTGGCATTGGGTATTTATAACAAACAAGTTGCATTTCCCAGGCATGGGTTATTAGACACGAGAATGTAATTGATATTAACCAACTTTCAGGCTCCAGTAACTTTTTCCACTGCATGTCAGTTTAATTTTTTTTAAAGCATAAGCAGCACATGCCAAATGGAAAACAAGAGGAAGAACACAAAAAACCCCTTAAGCCTTCAGTACTAAGTGAAAAACAACTAACCCATTTATCTTATAGAATCCTTCAGAGTTTTGCTATAAACTCACTCGGAAGAGAATATCACAGTCTTCTCTTTTTGAGAGGGTATTCGAGTGATTTTTAGAAATGAGACATCTCTAACTGTAATCTTGTTTTTTGTTCAGAACTAAAAGAGTATGCAAGAATATCTAAAAATACAAATTGTGCACCTACTGCATTACGGCAGAGGTTGAACACTGGTGACCCATGAGCCAAATCTGACCCATTGCTCTGTTTCATTTGGACCATACAGTAATGGTTGACTTTGTGTTTTAACATTTTAAAATTATTTTCAACATTTGTAAATCGAGAGATTTCACAGAAAATGCTGGAAGCTCTGACCCTACCGGCACCACACTCCTACAAGATAACAAATGGCTGGGGCTGAGTTGAGGCTGCTCTTATCCTTTGCCTCAATTGTATCACTCCTACAGTCTCCTTGTCTCTGAGGCCTAATGTCAATTACCTCTCTTCTTCTTAATAGTATTGTTATTTTTCCTAAGTAATGATCAAAGACAAATATTCATTTTGGTGAGCCTTGATCATAAATGGGGAAAATAAAGATGGGTTAAGAGGACTGAGTGTTTTAGAAAATGAAAAGGCTGTAATTCCTTATAGAAGTAAATAATTTCTTACTTAACCCCCTTTACCCCATAACAGAATCCTCCCAGCTGGCATCCAAGAGCATTGAGTGTGTGAACCTTTGTGAAAAGCATCAAGTTAAACGTTCTGTGTAAAGGATACCAGACACATGGAAAAGCCAAGCTAGGTTCAGTCTCAGACAAAAGCTGTCAAGCTGAGAAAGGGAAAAGAAAGCACTGCACTTGTAAGAAAAACAACAAATGGCAAGCACGGAATTGACGGCTAGAAAGAACAAAGCAGGTTTCAATGTTCTACCAAAAAATGTCTTAGCCCCTGGCTAAACTCCTTTTGGGAAAAATAGGCACAACAGGAAGATGCCTTCACTTCCCAAAGTCATCCAGACATTCTCAGTGGGAGCTTCTGCATCAACCTTGTGTCGCATCTGGAGCTGCAGACCCTCACTGCCCATTGGTTTAACAATCTCTCTCCTCCTGCAAGAAGAGGGTGGTGGCAGGGGGGAGTACTATAAGGGATGTTTGTTTTATTAAAAAGAATAAACATACATGCACATACACACCTACCCAGAAAATACTATTTCATGGCATCTACACTTATAGGGAATTCACTCAGAAACAGCTTTTTAGTAACACAAAGAATTAAAATCATTAGCACCCAACAAGTCAGAAATGATGGAAGATTAGGAAGACCATTGCATAGAAACAAAATTAAAAAAAGATAAAACCCTTTATAGAACCAGAAAAGGTGAGGAGAACACAAACAATCCTTTTCACTGAGATTGAGAACCCAGAAAAACCTTTTGATATAACTAGGGAAAGTTAAGTAGAGTCAGGAAAGGAATAAGTGTGTATTAATTTCCCACTGTGTAGAAAGCACTCCATATACATTTTAATACATTTTGATAATAAATAATAAATAATACTTTATATTTTTGTTCATTTATCCATTAAATAAGTATTCGTTCACTGCCTTCTATGTGTCAGACATCTCTAGGGATATAAACATTTAAAGACATGGTTTTCCTATTACCAAGTTTTGAGTCTAACAAGGAACTAGACAAACACTCTAATGAAAATAATAATGATTATAAATACAAACAGCAATAATACAATAGCTTAATAACAGCTGTCCTTTACTGAGTGCTTCCAATGTGGTAAGAATTGTGTTGAGCACTTTACATTATTATTCGTTTAATCCCTCATAAGTGCCCTATGACCAAGTTACTAATATCTTCATTTTACAGAGAAGGGAAGTAAGCTATAGACTAAATGATTACCTAAGGTTATAAAGGTAGCAGATGAAAGATCTGAGATTTAAACACTACCTGTTCTCTGCACACCAGGCCAACAGATAATCTGCGATATCAACCCCTACCAGCTACGATGGAGGCATGCCAAAAACAAGCGATGCAGAGGGGAGACCCTTAAACCCTTTTGAATTTGCAAAGCACTTCCCCATAGAGAAAATAAGCCTCCAGAATTCATCAGCCCCAAGAGGTGGTACTGGTAGAAAATATAATAGTCTTTCATAATAGCTTAGGTCAGGGTGTGAAAGACAGAGCTATAAGGGCTGGTAAAAGAACGAAAGCTTTCCAATCCAGAGACAAAAGGAAAAGTGAGATCCATCCATGACATGTCTCTTGAGGACTCTTTTAGGACCAAGATGGTGAATGCTGAACGGACCATGCATGCCTCAGTCTGTCAAATTGTATGTTTCTAAGGACAAATAGGCTACAAAACTTTCACCCTATTTTTATATGGGAAGTCTGTTGAAAAGAATACAATACATAAAAGATGAATTACTTATTGAGTCTTTAATATGTCTCTAGCACAGAAATAAACATCTTGTGTATATTGTTTCTAATTTCCACAATACCATGAGCTAGAAATATACAGAATAGAAGAACAGTGGGATCAGAGAGGTTAAGTGATTTATCCAAGACCACACAGGTGTTAAGAGGTAGAGGAATGGTTTGAACTTGCAACAATGTGACTCCAAAATCAATACATTTTCCTTACACTGAAATACAAAGTATCAGGCCAAATCTCTCTGCAAATATTCATCCTGTTTCTTTTGGTTCTTCATTCATTTAATTAAAAACAAGTTTATTATGCACATACAAGGAACATAGTATTCATCCTTGTGCATCTGACAAGTAAGTCAAGGAGACAGGTGTGTAAATACCTAACCAAACTTACAGGCAGGATGAATGAGGCTAAATGTGTTTATTATTTAAATAAACTCCATGAAGTCAGATACTTCAGTTTGTTGATCATTGCCACATACCTGAAACACAATCTTGAACCAACAAACATTTGTTTGATGGAAGGATAAATGAAGAAAATCCCACTTAAGGAAGTACAAACTTAAGGTAGAATTAATTCTGCCTAAGATAAATCAACGAAAGCCCCCAAGTGCAGTGTCATTGAATTGGACTTGGAAGAATGTATGAAGTATATACTAGTGAGAAATGAAGTGACAGGAGCTATGGCTCAGGGTAAACACAGGAATGGAAGCATAGAAGCCCACAAAATATTTGGGTAATAGAGTTCAAGCATACTTAGAGCACAGGAAAGGCGAGAAATTAGAGTGAGAACTAAAGTCAAAAAGGTAATTTGGCACCACTTTGCACAAAGCCTTCAAGTCAATTATTAAAAAAAACAAACAAACAAACAAACAAAAAAAAACAGCCATGCCAGTAGAATGCAGTAATCTGACAGCTTTTAGCAAAGTGGGAATGTATCACCCCTACTTCCTCCCCACTGATCTTAGAAGAATCCTAAGTGTTTACACCTAGTTTGTAAGATCCCAAGAAACTCTCCAGTGGTCTAATTCCCACCACTCAGCTAAGAACTCTCAGCTCAAAAGATACTGGCATCTGGAAAGCCTTTTTCAAAGTCCCTAAGTCTGAGTTCCTTACATCCCACACTTCACCCATCTCATAGTGTGTTTTTCTTATCTCTCTCCACCATCACTGGCTTCCATGTGAGCAGGCACTATCTTTGTTGATTCCTAGCATGTTGCAAACAGCCCGGCACATAGCAACTACTCAATAAATATCCTGGAAATAATTATTACATTAGTGAATTGAATGATTGATGCACTGACTGACTGTTGAAGAAATAGAGTCAAGGAGAGCCATAGGAGGCTGCCACAATAGCCCACGGAAAACACCTCTTTATAAAGGTCCAGATGTATTTCTTTAAGTAGGCACTTTGCTAACTGGGGAGAGCGGTGGTTAGTTAAAGCAGACAGCAAAGCAGAAAAAGGCAGGGCCAGCGGGCAGTTGCTGGGGAGACCACAATTCCATGGGACTATAGCCATTAGCATGCAACACTGGGTAATCTGATTTTCATGACAGACAGATTTATTATGACTTCTAAATATATAAATCCCAGGTTATGCTTTCCAGCTAACCTAACAACTTGATATATGTGTCTGACATCCCGTCTTAAAATCAGATTCCAGCTTCTAATTAATTTTTATTCACCCATCGCTCTAACAAGAGAGGCAGGAAGTCTCAGGGGGATAAACAATAGACAGGGTATTAGTCGTTCCTACTCTGTGGCACATTTTCCACTGAGTCTCTGGAGTTTTCTTTTTCTTTGCTACCAAAAAAGGGGGGCCTTACCCATTCTCTCTGTGGCTTCTAGGAAGAACGAGTGGAAAACATTACACAGGCACCCGATAGTCATTATTTCTATTAAGCAACCAATGCTTCATCCATCACTTCCACCTCCCCATTCCCTGCTTTCATCTACCCATGCAGAAATTGGAATGACATCATGGTCTAGTCAGTTTAAAGACTGATCATTGCTTATGTATTACTATACATCTTGCTTTCTCCAATAATATTATCAGCAAATAGTTCTTGAAGCTGAATTGCAAGTGCCACAATGACCTGACTTTAAACCAATAATAGTGATCATAAAGGCTAAAAGTACCACCTACCGCTTTTTATATAATCTGAACAATATTAATAATTCACTCACATTCAGATACTTTATTAACAATGAAAAGTGATACAGCTGTACCCAGGAAAAGTTTTGTAATCCACTGATTTCTTTAATGAGCATTCTATGAATCTGTGTTTTTTAAATATAATTTTCATATATGAATACAATTTAAAGAACATTTTCTTCTATGTCCTTTTTCCAAAACATGAAAGTCAATATGGGTACCACAGACCAGGTTAGAAAAAAAAAGATGGTCACATTCAACTTTTTAAGTTTTTTAATATTTAGTTCTCACTATGTGCTAGAGATTGTTCTCAAAATGTTAAATGCATTAAATCCTCCTCAAAACTCTATCAGGTATCATAATTTATCCTTGTGACATGTTTAAAAAGTTGTTTGCAGTCACAAAAGCTAGCAAGTTGTACAACTGAGATTTCAATTGAGGCTGATGGCTGAGGCTTTACCACCTTGGTCTTAATATACTGCCTGGAGATTTAATTACTAAATAACTAATAGTATAAGTAGCCAGTTGTGTTTGCCAAACCCATAAAGCCAAACTACACAATCATCTTCACTTTGAGGACACTATAGTGTTTCTGGCTTTTTGCAAGCAGATTTAAAAAATTTGGATACCAGTCTGTTTACCTGCCATAATATGGAATATAAACTAGGAGGAGAAACACATTCAGCAAAGAACTTTGTTTGATGGACTTCACGAATCAAAAAAAATGTCATTTTTCTGTTCATAATAAATAAATAGTAAAAATAGGATAATACCAAAAAATATGCAAAATCTTCTCCTCCCTATTTATTACAAGTATATACTTTCTAAATCTCTAGTGTCTATGTAATTTATTTGATGGTATGAAAGATGTATTTCACATGTACATGCACAGGCACACATGCGTGTGCACACACACACATACACATGCAACCTATGTATACCAGAATTACTCTGTGCTCAATTTATCTTCAGTTAAGCACTGAAAACAAAATAGAACCAAAAAAATGGATTCATAAAGTGACAAAAAGAAGTTCATTCACTTGCCCTTCAGGTACATACCATACTCATATGAACAAACTTATATATTCTCCCTACAAAATCACACTTAAATATGTGATTTAAAGTATTTTTTGCTAAGTATTTTTATTTCTTTCCCCAAAATTATTTGTGAAAATGGAACATGTCCTATATATCAATAAATGTCATTTAAAATAAATAAATTTTTAAATTAAAATTATCATCAAACTCTTAAAGTATTTCATTTTTTAAAAATAAATTTACACTGGAATAGAAGTCAAACAAACATTTAAAAGCACACAGAAAGCATTCATATTACAACTAATCTAAATGGCTGATTTGGTAAGTTTTAGAGCCTTTTAATAAAACCATATTTTTACTCAAGTACTATTTAGTTAGAGCTTTATCAAAATACTTAATTACAAAATAAGATCTAAGATGTTCAGGTAAAACTATGCACAATATAATCAAATCCTTAGCATGAAGCCATTCAAGTTGTCATTTAGAGATCTGTTTTCTGAGCCTACTCCAGTTTTAAAATAGTTTCCTCAGTAACATCAAATCTGCCCTTCCTCCCCTTTGCCCTCAGAATTATTAGAGCATAATGTAATTCTTTTACCAGCCTTAGGAAAACACTATTGGAATGCATGAGCCAAAATGCAGAGATGAAACGGAACTGAAAAAAAAAGTTTTTTAAAAATGGAAAATCAATTACTATTTTTAATAAGTAGAAATAGCTTTTGTGCTAAGAAAAGAAAAATTGCCCAGAGACAAAATAGATGTTCGATATTATAGTGCACTAATGAGTACATTTACATGTAATTTTCTGAAATTTATGTCCAAGACTAACTGCAAATAGAATTTAGTATCAATAGGAGTTTACAAAACCCATTCATTTTTCCTCTAATCATATTGAATATTTAAGGTGCTTGATTAGACTCAATTATTTTTCTTTCGGTGCCAAAAAAGAGCCCTGACAGCTTTGAAAGAGATGGATTAGTGGGGCATTTCCCACCAATGGGGAAACATTCCTGGCTCCCACAGCAGGAAAAAAAAAAACAATGAGAAAGTTCATGCCAATTCACATGCATGCCACTGAATGAAATCTGCAGAGAACTCAGAGAAGGTCAGCTTGTCAAAGGATCACGGCAAAAAGCGGAAGAGGCAGATACCCAAACTTAGTAGGACTTTGTGGCCTCCCAGCTCACAAGCCTGCTTCTTCATTTCAAGGCGGCCTGGAGAGAAGCATCTGACAAAGATCTATCTCCCACTGCCCAGAAAAGATTAAAAGAATATGGGCCCTAGCAAATCTCCTAGTACTTGGAATTGAGAAATAGAAAGGGAAATGTAGCTAATTTGCAGTAGCCCTGCTTCCTTGTTCAGATTTCCCGAAGCATAATAAAATAGAGAGGCTGTGTCTCCAGGGTTCCACTTCCAGCTGTGCCCCACAACTTGGAAAAAACAAGAAGGGACATGTTACCTACTCACACCAACCTGCCTCTCCTGCTGCCCCTCCTGCTGCCATTCTTTCAATTCATTCTAAGGGAGGTTGTCAGCCCTCTCTGAAATGCTTTAAAAAGAAGCTATATTCCTAACTGGTCAAGGAGATTTAGGTGAATTCCTGGCTGAAAGCAGAATGAGGAAAAAACTGTTCCCTCAAAGTGCCCAATCTTTGATGCATTATGTTCTACTGTCTGCTAAAACCATCATCGTAGCCTTTTAATTAAATTTTCAAATTCTGGTTTGATGGTCCATGTTAAACTCAATTTGGTCAATTCAGGGCACCATCCACCCAGATATTCCTCCCTCTGAGACTTCTGGTAGAATCCTTCCTTGCCTCTTCCTAATTTCCAGTCTCTGCCTCTGTCATCATGTGACGTTCTCCCCTCATCTGTCTGTATCACTGTGTCTTTTCTCCTCTTCTATGAGGACACCATTCACATTGCATTAAGGTTCCATCTTAACTCCAGTATGACCTCATCTTAACTAATTACATCTGTAATGACAGTATTTCCAAATAAGGTCACATTCTGAGGCAATGAGAGTTCAAACTTCAAATATCTTTTTGGGGGCACACAAGTAAACCTATTCTGTGCAGGGCACACAATTCGACCTACTAACACTCCCATATTAAATCAATCACCAAGTCGTGAGCAGACACCTAATACCTCTCAAATCTGTCAACTTCTTTCTATACCCACCACTACCCTGAATCCCATACAATTGTCTCACCTGGGTAATTGTAACAGCTTCCTTTAGGAAGCTCCCCTCATTTTTGCATTGCTCCAATAGATTCTCCAAAAAAAAAAAGTGCTTATTGAAATGTAACTGATATAGAGAAAAGTGCATAAATCAGAATGAATTTTTACAGGGCACACATACCCACTTAAACACTACCCAAATCAAGAAATATAATATTATCATCATCCTAGAAGCACATTTCATATCCCTTCCCAATTAATTTCCTCCTGCTCCAGCCCAAAGGAAACCATTATCCTGACCTCTAACAACATTGATTAGTTTTACATGGTTTGGGATTTTATATGAATGGTAACATTCAGCACATGCTTTTGTATCTGTCTTCTGCTGTTAGAATGATCCTTGCTGTTGCAACTAGAAGTAATTGATTCATTTTCTTTACTTTATAAATATTTCATTATGTGAATATACCCTTTTACTTATTCATTCTAATGTTGATGACCATTCAGATTGAGTTCCATTTGGAAAAGCTATTAAAAATAATGGAGCTACGAACATTCTCACATTTTTAGCGTATATCTAGTAGAAGTGAAAGGTCACAGGGCCTACAATTGTTTTTCACTAAATATTGCCAGTTTTCTAAAGTAATTATATTAATTTTCAATCCCACACCACTGTATGATAGTTCCAGTTGCTTCATACCCTTGCCAACACTTAGTATTATCAATCTTCTTTCATTTTAGTCATTCAGATGAGTGTCCAATGGTAGCTCATTGTCTCTAATAACTAATTATGATAAGAGCTTTGTAATATGCTGTGTAGCCATGTGACTATCCTCTTTTGTAAAGGGCTTGTTCAAATTCATTGCCCTTTTTTCCAATGGGCTATTTTTCTCCCATCCAAGTACTAATCAGGCCCATCCCTACTTAGCTCCCAAGATCAGACAAGATTGGATGCATTCAGGGTGGTATGGCCGTAGACTACCTCTTTTTCTTACTGATGTGTAGATGATATTTATATGATCTGAATACTAGTCCTTTGCCAGAGATATTGTAATTATCATCTCCCATTCTGTGGCTTGCCTTTTCTCTCAGCTAGTGATGTCTTTAGTTCATAAACTTTCCATTTTGATGTACTCTAATATATTTATCTTTTCATTTTTTGCTATTGTTTTAAAAATAGTTTTATTGAGATATAACTCACATACCATCCAATTCACCAATCAAGTGTATGTGACTCAAAGTTTTTTAGTATATCCACAGAGTTGTGTAACAATCACTACAATCCAATTTTAGAACATTCTAATCACCCCAGAAAGAAACGTTGGCCCGGCGCGTTGGCTCACGCCTATAATCCCAGCACTTTGGGAGGCCGAGGCGGGCGGATCACGAGGTCAGGAGATCGAGACCATCCTGGCTACCACGGTGAAACCCCGTCTCTACTAAAAATACAAAAAATTAGCCGGGCGAAGTGGCGGGCGCCTGTAGTCCCAGCTACTCGGGAGGCTGAGGCAGGAGAATGGCGTGAACCTGGGAGGAGGAGCTTGCAGTGAGCCGAGATCGCGCCACTGCACTCCAGCCTGGGCGACAGCGAGACTCCGTCTCAAAAACAAAAAGAAAAAGAAACCTTATACCTACTAGCTGCCACTCCCTATTCCTCCCAACACCTTCACCCTCACTAAACTCTAACCAACCACTCATCCACTCTCTGTCTTTATTGATTTGCCTTTTCTGGGTATTTCTTATCAATGGAATTATATGATATGTGTTTTTTTTATTTTGTTTTTGTGACTGGCTTCTTTCACTTTGCATGATGTTTTCAAGGTTCATCCATGTTGCAGCATATATGAGTACTTCTCTACTTGTTTGTCTAATAATATTCCATTGTACGGATATACCACATTTATTTATCCATTCATCAGTTGATGGTCATTTGGGTTGTTTCCACTTTGGGGCTATTAGATGAAATGATGCTTGGATAGTGTTTTTTCATGTCCTGTTTAAGAAATATTTGGCTATCCCAAAATCATGAAGACATTCTATGATGTTATATTCTAGATGCTTTATTGATTTAGCTCTCACACTCAGATCAGCAATCCAACTGGAATTTATTTCTGTTTATGATGTGAGGTTCATTTTTCCCTGCCCTGATACCCAAATGATTCAGCACTATTTAATGAAAAGATCGCCCTTTCTTCATTGCTCCACAGTGTCATCTTTCTCAAAATTCAAGTGTCCCTACATGAGTGGCTCTATTTCTGTACACTCCATTCTGTTCCATTAATCTATTGCTATTTGCTTATCCTTGTGCAATACCACATTATAGTAATTATTGTAGATTTATAATGAATTTATGAAGAGCTGATAGATAGTATATGTCCTCCAACTTTGTTCTGATTCCCCTTCAGAATTATCTTGCCTATTCTTTGCCTTTTGCATAATGGTGTTTTGATTAGAATTGCATGAAATTTAGAGATCAATTTGGAGAGAATAGACCTCTTGACCCTATTGAGTCACCAATTCATGGATATATTGTGTCCTTTCATATATTAGGTCATCTTTAATTTCTTTCAGTAATATTCTGTACCTTTCTCTGTAGAGGTCTAATACATCTTTTGTTAGATATATTCCTATGTTTTTAATATTTCAAGCTATTTTAAGTGGTAACTTTTTAAATACATTTATTGAGGTAAAATTTACATAGCATGAAATTCATCTATTTAGATGTACAGTTTGATGAGTTTTGAATACATTTATATAGTTATACAACCATCACCTCTACATAGTTTTAGAACACTTCTATCAATCCAAACTGTTACCTCATGCCCTTTGCAGTTAATCCCCACTCCCCACACCAGGCAGCAACTGATTTGCTTTCCATCTCTGTAGTTTTGCCCTTTCTAAAAATTGAATCATACACTATAGATTCTTTTGTGTCTGGATTCTTTCACTTCACATAATACTTTTGAAGCATATCCAGGTTATTTCAGGTATGGGCTGTTCATTCCTTTACAATGTTGAGTAGTATTCCCTTGTATAAATATACTAATTATTGCTTACCCATTTACCAATTGATAGATACCTAGATTGCTTCTATAATAGCTTGGGACCATTACAAACAACATTGCTATAAATGTAGACATACATTTCATTTCTCCACAAGTTTTCATTTCAAGACCTTGAAGTGGAATTGCTAAGTCTTATGGTAAGTACATGTTTAACCTTTTCAAAAAGTGCCAAATTGTTTTCCAAAGTAGCTGTACCATTCACATTCCTAATAGCTTTATTTAAAGGTTACAGTTTCTCCATATCTTCACCAGCACTTCTTATTGCCTTTTTTACTTTAGCCATCCTAGTGGGTATAAATTGGTATTTCAATGTGGTATATAATAATATTTCATACTATTCCTCTCCTTTAAATTTGCATTTTCCTGGTGATGATAAGCATTTTTCATGTGATTATTTGCCATTAATGTATATGCTTTGGTTTGTTTTCTTATTACCGACATAAGAATTCTTTATATATTCTTGATATTAAATGCTTTATCAGATATGATTTGCAAATATCTCATCCCATTCTGTGGTTTGTCTTTTTATTTTCTTAATAGTGTCCTTAAATAACTCACGTTTTAAAATGTTATGAAGTTCAATTTATCAGTGTTTTTTTCTTTTAGGAAATCTTGATTTTGGTGTTATATCTAAGAAATATTTGACTAATATAAAGTCATAAAACCTTTCCTGTATGTTTTCATCTAGAAGTTTTATAGTTTTAAAGCTTATATTTTGGTCTGTAATCCATTCCAAGTTAACTTTGTATACAGTACAGGCTAATTTTTGGATAAAGACATGCAATTGTTCCACCTCACCTTCTTTGGAAAAACAATTTGTTCATAGTTTATAACCCTTTTTATATGTTGCTGGATTCATTTTAAATGGTATCTTTTTAAAATTTCATTTTGTAATTCTTTGTTCTGGTACGTAGAAATACAATTGATGTTTTATACTGACTTTGTATCTAGCATCCTTGCTAAATTCATTTGTTAAATTTACATAATTATATGTTCTGCAAATAAAAGAATTTTATTGTTTCCTTTCAAATGCTCATATCTTTTTTTTCTGTCTCTCTACATTCACCAGGACTTCCAGTACAATGCTGAACAGCAGTGGTGAGAACAGTCACCCTTTTCTCAGACCTAATCTTAGGGCAAGGCTCTCAATGTTTCACTTAAGTATGATATTTGCTGTAGTTTTTAAAAAATATATAGAGAGTCTTTATTAAGGATGTTTACTTATAGTCCTAGTTTGTTAAAAGTTCTTATCAGGATTAGATGTTGAATTTTATCATATGGCTTTTCTCCTTTTCTGTTATTACATCATTTGATTTTTGAACATTACCTTACCACTCATATCTATAATAAATACAACTTTGTCATGACATATATTGTTTTTCTATATTGTTCAGTCTGCTATTGCTTTGTTTAGGATTTTTGCATTCTTGAGACCTCCAAAATCTCTTCCCCATCTCTTTAGCTGCTGCTTTCTATTGGACTTTTAAGCTTTTCAGGTCTTTGTCATTTACAAATCAACAAATGCTTCAAAAAGAAAAAGAATGAGAATGTTGAAGTCACTTCAATGCACCTCCTCCCTCCAGGGTTCTGACCCCTCAAGTCCTGGATGCCTTGGTAGCCCTTCAATACCTTCAAACAAATATCTTCTCTTTATTTTGGCTGGCTTTTCTAGTTATTCTCTTGGTGGATTATTAGCTACCCTATCATTACCAGAAGCAGAAATTCATCCTATAACTAAATAAAGTCATCATATAAACTAAATCATATTATTCTTCCTCCTTGAATTTGCTAATGTGCTGATAAAAACTCCATATTCTGTACTATGTCCTATAAGATTCTAGTGATACAGACATAGCCTTTCCCTCCATCATCTCCTACCACTCACTCCCTTGTTCACTCCTCTCCCACCATATGTATCTACTTTCTGTTCTTCTAATCCCATTGGGTTAATTCCCAAATCAGTGCTTTTGCATTTGTTCTTCCCTCTCCCTGGAACACCCTGTCCCTGATCTTCACATGCCTGCCTCACTTTTGTCAATCCATCTCAGTTTCAATGTCACCTCTTCAAAGAGGCCTTCTCAAGACAATTTATCTAATCTTGTGTCTCTCCTGCCTGATTCCCCACAAACAATATTCTATACATGAAAGAAATGATAATGAAATTAAGCCAACAGAAATAGAGTTTGAACTTTCCAAAAGCCACAATGTTATCTCTATCCCACTTCCACATCCAACATAAAGAGAACAACAAACTAAGAATATGTAACACCTTTGGGGACCACTTTTGTATATTATTATACAGATCTTAAGAGTATATAATCTTTCTCTGGAGTGTGACAAACCTAAATCACCGCTACATCACTTTCCAGATGTATAACTTCCAGCAAGGTTCTCAGCCTCAACTTCCTAAACTATAAAATGGGGATAATGGTAGAATCCATTCGATAATATTGTTGTAATTATAAAATAAATGTTATTTTGTATGCAAAGTGCTTAATACAGTGCTGAGTCATAAAAAGTGTTCCATAAACAAGAGCTATTGTGATGACTGACAATGATGCTCATGATGATAATGATGACAAAAACAATAAGGCTCTGGAGCATCTGGTAAAATGCTAAGTAATTCAATCAAACACACACAGATGTACACACACACATACGCACAAAATTACATGTTGTAATTCATTTCCACCAAGTAGATACAGCCTTTATCACTTGCATTGGTAGATTTGGTAGAGACTTCATTTCTTTGATTTCTGTACTAGGTAAGTTTGGTGGCAAGAAATATAGGCCAGCCCTAGCAAGTCTATTCAAAAATAAGAAAAATGAAAAGAATACTACAGTATCTCACAAAATTGAAAGGAGAATGAAAACCCAAGCTTTGTGAAGAAGGAAATCAAGGTAGCTTCAGAGAACTGAGAGGCCGGATCTTAGAGACCTCCCTCTAGAGCACTGCTATTTGAATGACTAAAATACCATTAATAACTACTTTTTGCTTTCAATTCAAAATTCAAAATTCTTAGAAGAGAGAATCTGATTGGCATAATCAGATACCTAGCCCTAGATCACTCATCTCTGCCCTCAAGTTAAAAAGTCAAACATTATGGTCTCAGCTGCTGGGAGCCCACCTCTGTGGATCAGGGGACACTGCCCAGAAAAGAGTTTTGTTTTAGAACTGGAAGGTCATCCCAAGAAATATTACTATAATAGAAGGGACTCTGTCTAAGATGGGCTCTCTCTAAAAGAAGTCATTTTGTTCTACTATTTGCCCATCCAGAATAGCAGTGACCAAGTTATGCACCATTAGCTGCTTGGGAGGGAGCTAATTACAAATTAAATATAATTGAATCAGTGAGTCTGCTTTCAAGTCCTCTAAATAGAATAACAACATGCTACCTTGTACAGCCAATTTAGCAAATCGAAGCTGAATCCCTTGCTTTCTATGAAGATAAAGAGCCTTTGTGAAATTTTTAAAGTATAGATGTAAACTTCAAAAAATTTTGCAAGGCAAGTCATCAAAATCTGGGAGAAAATATATTGGAAACTGTGCTCCAACAGGAGCCAATGAAGGAACCTTATGAGGGAGTATAAAATATTAATATTCACCAATGCCAAGAAAATTTTCATATTATGCAGGTATCCAAAATGGGACTACTATCTTTGATTTCACAATTCCTTTCTACTTCTCTAACACGAATTTTTAGTGACCCAAAATGCTGGGAAGAACTACAAAATACAGTGAATGCATTCTACTTGAACATTATCTTATGCTGTTGTACCTACCAAAAAGACACCATGAAAACTGCAAGTATGGCTGCGCTGGAAAAAACCGAAATAAGTAGTCATCTGTGAAGTACTGCAAGTGTGGGAAATGGTTGAGAGTCATGGACATTGGGGAATATCAACAAAAGAGGAAGAAAAAGAAGATTAGGATGGAGGTAGAAATGATTCCCATGGAATTACTGACATCAGTATATATTCCCTTAGCCTATTATTACATCAGTGTCTCCTACTGGGAATATTTACTGAACCAGTGGTACTCAGACTTTTTTTGAGCAGGGAAAAAAATTTATTCAACATTTGGAAAACTGGCATAGGGCATCCAAAGTGGGGTGAGAAGGCTCTTGTGTCAGACTACCAGGTCCATTCCCAGCTCAATATATACATACTGTGGTAAGATATCCGTAACGTAAAATTTACTATTTTAACCATTTTTAAGTGTACAGTTTTGTGGCATTAAGTACATTCACAATGTTGTGGAACAACTACCTGTATCTAGGTCTAAAACATTTCATCACCTCCAAGGGAAATCCTATACCCATTAAGCATACATTCCCCGATTCCTTCTTCCTCCAGTGCCTGGCAGCTACTCATCTGCTTTCAATCTCTATGGATTTGCCCATTCAGGCATTTCATATAAATGGAATCTTCTAATAGGTGACCTTTTTTGTAATGGCTTATTGTACTTAGCATGTTTTTAATGCTCATCCATGTTGTAGCATGTATACTTCAGTAAAAAAAAATTGAATACAATTGTAAATATTTGTTTGAAACACATAAAAGAAATAGTTAAAGGGATTGAGCCTATTTACAGAAGACTTGAACTCTGGGGCAAGGAGAGATGAAAAGGGGGACTAGGATAGCAGTTGTCATTTCAAAGACTCATTGTGTGTAAAGAGACTAAGTTTTATTCTATTCAGCCCCAAATTATCCCCCCATAACCAAAGAGTAGAAACTATAAGAAGAGAGATTTCAATTTGACATAAGAAAAATCTTTCAACAGTGTTATCCAAAGACAGAATAGACTGTTTTTATAAATAATGAGTTCCACTTATCTGTAGGTATTCAAGTATAAATGGAATATTCCCTTCGCAGAAATCTTTAGAGAAGCAAGCATCAGATAAGATTGATCTGAATCAGTGGTTCCTAAAAGCCAATCAACAAGCGCATGCCAATACATGATGAAGTTTTCATTCACTCGTGGTGAAATGCCAAAATCAAAGAGGTTTTTATAAAGCTAAATATATATTTAATTATTTTAATTCCAAGATTATGCCTTTCATCCTTTTAGTATCAAAATAGCCCCCCAAAATAGTGAATGATAGTTTTCTTCATTCATGCCCTTTTTTGGGGCAAAACTTCAAGGTGACAAAGTAAAGTCAGCCCTTTGTTTTAGGGGGGAAATTGTACCAGTCTCAAAGTGTGAGAATCATTTGAATAGGTGATTCTTAAGACATTTTCAAAATTCCAAGAACCCATGTTTATGACCAAGGATTGTTATGAAAGTTGCTTTTGTTGTTCATTTTATCCATATTTCAACTGTGTATGCAAGGAGTGGAGCACCTCCCAAGAGGATTTTCCCCAAGGCTTCTGCCTTTGTAGGGATGGTCTGAAATGATATAGAATTTGAACGGATTTCTAGTCTCACAGGGATTTATATTACATGAAAAAAGAGAGAGCTTTGCTTTAGAGATGTTTATCCAAATTCACCACGGAGTCAATGGGCCAAATTCCAAATGCCATGGGCCTCCCAGTGGGTGTCAATTTTACTGGGCGGCTGTGTTTGGGAGAAAAAGTACATATGCATGTGTGGCTGTGAATGTGTGTGTGTAGAGATAAAGAGAGAAGGATATGAACAAATAGATAGAGGCATCAACAATCACAAGAGGGAAAGGGATGATATATGTTTAGAATTATATCTAAGGACTGTCTAAAGATAAACAAAAATAACGTTTTTCCCCTTTTTTGTCACCCTTGTTAAAATCAATAGGAAAAATTTGAAGGTACCAAGTTATTTTATTGTCAGGCACCAAAAGAGTAAAAATTGATGACATCACTCCATACAAAACCCCCAGAGCTTTCTGATTCTGCTGTTTATGCTTTCTCCTGCAACATCTCCATTTGGATCCTGCTGGAAACACTTTTCTTTCTGTCACTCACAATCTGTCAAGACAGCATTATCTTCTGTGGTTTAAAAACAGAAACTCCATTTAACTTCGTGGTTGATAAAGACATCTCGTTCACATCCCTTAACTAACAATAATTATTCTAATTTACCACATAAAGACAAGAAAAAATATGCACTTAACATTTTGCAGCTGGTTTTGTATCAAGGAACACATGGAAGAGAAATGGTCCCACTCTTGCGATAAAAAAATAAGGTATTAAGTAAAAAATAGACCTAACATGAATGTATGCTTTTGGTACATCCTCCCTACATGCCAATCAGTGAAGCAATTAGGAGTTTGGGCTCTCAAAACATACTTGGATTCCAATCCTGGATTTGCCTCTTATTAATCTAAGAAGGCAAGACACGTAACCTTCCTAAGTCTTCTTCATCTGTAAAATGGGAGCATATATCAATATCTACCTCATAAGATTAAATTAGATAATCAATCTATGTCAGCTGCTGTTACTATTGTTGTCCTCCTCCTACTCGTCCTCATCATCACCACTATTAACATCAAATCAACGTATTAGTTAAGGTTCTTTGGGGTCAAGCAACGCAGATCATCCTGCCTAACGTTAGCAAAATAGAAAAGAGATCTACTGCAAGTATACAGAATAGTGCCTAAAAATCAAAGTAAAACTAAATGAAGCTTAGAACCAACAGGAGGCTGGGGGCAGTGGTTCACACCTGTAATCTTAGCACTTTGGGAGGCCGAGGCAGAGGGATCACTTGAGCCCAGGAGTTTGAGACGAGCCTGGACACCATGGCAAAACCCAGTCTCTACAAAAATTTAGCTGGGCGTAGTGGCACCCACCTGTAGTCCCAGTTACTAGGGAGGTTGAGATGGGAGAATTGTTTGAGTCTGGGAGGTTGAGGCTACAGTGACCCATGATCATGCCACTGTGCTCCAGCCTGGGCAACAGAGAGACCTTGTCTAAAAAAAAAAAAAAAAAAAAAAAAAAAGAAGCAACAGGAGTCAGGCTCCCAGGAATTCATGGTCAGTTAGTTCTTCAGGCTACTATCAGCAGGAAGAATCAGCAACAACCATTTTCCATCCTTGGGTCAATGTACTCAAGATTCAGAATCTCTGAAAAAAAAAGAGTGGTGGGGTGGGGGTAGGGGGGTGGGGTTTGGGACTTGGGCACTGCCTTGGTCACATGACCACTGCTTGGCCTGGGGAAGGCAAGGTGTTTGACAGCTCCAATAATACTGTGTTTGGTGGAGAAGGCTATTCCCCAAGGGAAAAATCTACTTTATAACTCAAAGAAGAGGAGTACAGATACTGAGCAGGTACATATACCAAGAACTATTTTTCTTACACCATTACATCCCAACGACCCACTACGTCAAGCTCAATTAAGCCTGCACCCTCTTCTCCATCATCCTTCCTATTTGGTAATTACTCTTTTAATACATGTTTTTAATTTTGAAGTTGTTGTTAAAACTCAATTTGAGAAAAGCAAAAAGGCCCCAGAGCTCTAAAGTATATATGTCCCTTAAAAATATATATATATATATACTGCTTGCTGACAATAAATTATTTTGTTAAAAAACTTCCGTATTAGAATTTCCAGAAAATTTATTGTCTTTATGTTCAAGTTATTTAGTAGTAATCTGTGCTATTAAGAAGCACATAAAGCACCCATTGAAAAAGTTATCTGAAGATGATTTAGAGAAATAGTTTGTTCTCTTAGAAAGAAATCTCTTTTATGTTTTAAGTTCAATAAGATGATATTTATGCTCATAAATTAGGGTCAAAGGCAACATTTTGTTTTGGTAATTTTTTTGTGGATGATGATGTTTTAGTGAGAAAGGATTGACAATAAAAGCAAGAATGTAAGAATAATAAAAATAAATAATAACGAAATACATGACCTACAATTTCATTAAAATTTTCTTCCAGCTTACTAGCTGAACAAATCCCAAACAATGAAAATATACAGAGTCTGATTAATTTGAAGCCCTAAACAACTCTGTAGCTCAGTGAAAACATTTCTCATAAAGCCCAGGGCCCTGAGGGCACACAGAGCTAAGACAAATCCCAGTGTGGTCCACCCTTAGCAGCTGTGTGACTCTAAGCAACTTACTAATCTGCCAAAATACCCAGGTCTCGCCTCATCTGTAAATGAAGTAAACAACGTGGTGGGATGTTTTGAGGACTTGATATAATGCATGGAAGGGTCTTGACACTTTTTCTGGCAAACAATGAGCACACAACGATAAACGTTTATAATTCTATGTATGGAGAGAGAGAGAGAGAGACTGAGAAAGCATACAAAAGAGCAAGAAAGCAGTAGTTCTCAACAGGGAGTGATTTTTGCTCACCAGAGGACATTTGGCAAGGTCTGGAGACATCTGTGATTGTCAAAACCTGGAGGGTAGAGGGTGCTTCTGGCATCCAGTGGGTAGAGGCCAGGCATGCTGCTTACAGGGAAGCTCTTACAATACAGATGACAAGCCCCCACAACAGAATTATCCAAGCCAAAATGCCAATAATGCCAAGGTTGAGAAACAGAAAGAGATTGAGAAAGAGAAAGCAATGTGATGTAATGCAGAACCTGTAACAGATTTGGAAGGAAAGGTACATTCAAAGCCGGGATAGGAAAGTAGATCAGAGCAGATTTGAAATTAGATTGACAGGCATCTGCCACATGTAAGCTATTGAGGAAGTGCTCTGAGCCTGAGGATTCTCATTTGAACAACGGGCATAATATGTAACATCACCTACCTCAAAAAGTTGTTAGCAGGCATGATATTCACCCCTGACCAAATCATTACAGATGCCCACTGCGTATAACCAGTAGGACTTCACCAGTGTGTATACCCACTGTCAACCCTAAGAGTTAGGTACACGTAATAAATAAATGGTTACTAGTCTTGTTATATATTAGACCAACAGCCAGGTTTGAAGTTTGACTCTGCTACACTGGAAATACTTGAAAGGGTTTGTTAATATCAGCAAGAATTAGTGCCCTCATAAGGAAGTAAACAGCAACTAGACTCCAAGTTCAAATGAGTTTTCCCTGTAGGTTAGGTGTCCTCAACTTGGGATCCTTAAAACCTCTGAAATTAAAAAGAAAAAATTACACATATGCACATATATACATGTATGAATGCAACCAAGTGTGTGTGTGTGTGTGTGTGTATTTTTCTCTGAAGAGGGGTCCAAAAATGGTGACGCATCACTGGGTTAGAGGTATACAGTTTTCAATATAAAGTAATAACCAGGATGCAGTAGAGTTTCTGAAGATATCATTGTAATGTGAAGGAGACAGTATTTGGAAATAGTTATGAACTCAGATCTGGGAGTTTGAATTCTGCCTCTGCCACTTACTGTCTGTGCAACCTTGCATAACTGACAGAACAATAACTTCTTTGCATCTCACATGCAAAGGTGGAATGCTCATAATATCCACCTAAGAAGAATCTTAGAGCAATAAAATTAGACAATTCCCATATGGTATTCAGCACAGTACTCAACACATAGTATAGAAGTCCCTGGTTATCCGCAGGACAGATGCTTCAAGATCCCCAGTGGATGCCTGAAACCAAACAGTACTATGTTTCTCCTACACATGCATACCTATGAAAAAGTTTAATTTATAAATTAGGCAGAGTAAGATATTGACAATGATAGCTAATGATAAAATAGAGCAATTATAACACTATGCCAGCATTACTACTCTTGTGCTGGGGCCATTATTAAGTAAAACAAGGGTTCCTTGAACACAAGCACCATGATACCATGACAGTTGATCTGATAACTGAGATAATGATTAAGTGATGAATGGACAGGGAGCATCTACAGTGCATATGCTGGACAAAGGGATGATTCACTTCCTCACAATGGAGCGAGACAGCATGAGATTCCATCATGCTACTTAGGACGGTGTGCAATTTAAAATTTATACATTGTTTATTTCTGGAATTTTATAGTTAATATTTTTGGACCACAGTTGACCATGGTTAACTGAAACCACAGAAAGCAAAACCGTGAATAAGGGGAGACCACTGTATGTGAGGACTAAGAATTAGATACTGCAATGGAAGTATTTGCAAAGACTATTATATTCAGATGGTGGTGAAGGTTTGAGCCTTCTCTAACTACGTATGGCACACACTATCAGAAAAATGGCAGGGATTCATCAATTAATCTATCCATTTACTACTAGTTCAGCCAGAGGATCCACTAATTCTGAGACATGCCTTGTATAATAATATCTATACAATGTTGAAAAGTGGACAGAAGTAGCTGTGAATCTGGTCACAAAACCTCTTTTTATACAAGAAAGCCTCATTCAAACTTTCTCCTCTGACACATTTCCCAGGGCCCCCTCTGGGATTTCCACAAACATGATGTTGTGCTTGACTGTGCATTACTATGGAACAATTCTAAGCCTGTCTCACCTACATATAAGATACAGACTCCGCAAGGGCCTTTTCAATCTCCTTCATTCCTCTCAGAACCTGTGCAAACAGGATTTTATGCACAGGTAACCCAAATAAAGCAGGGTTGCCTTGAGACTTGCATCTGCCCAATAACATATCCACGAAGAATGACTCTGTAGGCATTTGCCAGTGCATTGCACAGCAGCACAGCCTAAAATTCTTCCTCACCCATCCATTGCCCCAACCTTAAAGCATCTGTTTTAAAAAAAAAAATTCATCTTTCCCTATCTCTCATTCTAACCTATCCCCACCCAGGATGCCCTCAGTGCCATTCTGCTTTTTCGCTGCCACCACATTTACTGTGCTCATGACACCTGTCCCCTCTCTTCAGGGTATCACTCCTGCAAGGCAGAGAGCCTGGCCTGAATACCTTTCTTCTGGAAGCAGCCCTCTAGAATTCTGGGTAACAGATTTGCTATCTTGTTCTATAGAGAAGTTCATTACAAGAAATGCCTCCATTCCTGGCTCAACGCTCACTTAACCTTCTTCTAGAGGCCACAGGCAGATGATCTTCCAAGTTTCTCTTACCCTAGAATAGTAGTGAAGAAAAAAGGACCTCATCTGCACTCTACCTGACTTGCAGGGCAAAGTCAGTATTAATCAGAGGTGCCCTTTTTGCTACTGACAGACAAAGTAGATGCACTCATAACCAAGAGCTTTTCACCAAACCCTCAGGGCTTTAAATCTTTCTCAAACAAACTGCAATTTGCAAAGAAACACCCTAAATGATGCTGTGCAAGGAAGTTACAGCAGGCACAGAAGGATGGAGTAACATTTCACCATCTGCTTGTGATAATAATAATGCCTCTACCTTGCAAAGTGTCTAATTGATTGTGTGACACAGGCACAAAGTTCCTGCCACAATTTCACCAACAAAAGTTATTCCTAAATTGTACCCTCACAGAGGGAGAGTGCTAAGGTCAGTGGTCCTAAGGACCAATTTTGAGCATATGAACTTTCTGGTGGCAGAATGATAAGAGTCCTGGGACACAGTTAGGCAAGATTGAACCAACTCACCCTATAATAGTTGTTTCAAGCAATGTCCAGCCGGGGACACAGAGAACAGAGAGGTAGGGGATGGATCTAGGGCAGTGTTTTCCACTTGTGGAATGGAAAATGCCTTAAGGTAATATGGATGAACAACTGTCTGGGTTTCCTGTGGAGGAAGCCTGGGCTGCTTTACTCTCTAGGGTGTTGAGCCAGAAGGCTTTATTCTGGTACAGCCACCTCATTGATAGTGAGGTAGCAATGCCTGACAAAAGTAGATGTTCATGCTTTGTGCTAGAAGAGCATAGACTTAGCCAGATGCCATCTTTTTCTAAATTGGCAGCACTCAGGCCTCAACTGAAGGGGTTGGGAAAAGTGAGCTGGAAAAAAGAGGCCGGGAGCGGCAGCTCACACCTGTAATCCCAGCACTTTGGGAGGCCAAGGCAGGTGCAACACCTGAGGTCAGGAGTTCAAGACCAGCCTGGCCAACATGGTGAAACCCCGTCTCTACTACAAAAATTACAGCCAGCTACGCCGAAGGCTGAGGCAGGAGAATCGATCAAACCTGGGAGGGGGAGGCTGCTGTGAACTGAGATTGCACCAATGCACTTCAGCCTAGGCAACAGAGTGAGACTCAATCTCAAAAAAAAAAAAAAAAAAAAAGACGGGGGCGATTCCAAGATGGCCGAATAGGAACAGCTCCAGTCTGTACCTCCCAGCGTGAGCGATGCAGAAGATGGATGATTTCTGCATTTCCAACTGAGGTATCGGGTTCATCTCACTGGGGCATGTCAGACAGTGGGTGCAGGACAGTGGGTGCAGTCCACTGAGCGAGAGCCGAAGCAGGGCAAGGCATCGCCTCACCCGGGAAGCGCAAACATGTACCACATGTTCTTTATCCAGTCTATCATTGATGGACATTTAGATTGATTCCATGTCTTTGCTATTGTAAATACTGCTGCAATGAATATACACATGCATGTGTCTTTATAATAGAATGATTTATATTCCTTTGGGTATATAAATACCCAGTAATGGGATTGCTGGGTTGAATGGTAGTTCTGCTTTTAGGTCTTTAAGGAATCGTCACACTGTCTTCCACAATGGTTGAACTAATTTACACTCCCACCAACAGTGCATAAGCATTCCTTTTTTTCCACACCCTGACCAGCATCTGCTACTTTTTGACTTTTTAATAATAGCCATTTTGACTGGTGTGAGACTGTATCTCATTGTGGTTTTGATTTGCATTTCTCTAATGATCAGTGATGTTGAGCTTTTTTTTCAGATTTTTGTTGGCCACATGTATGTCTTCTTTTGAAAAGTGTTTGTTCATGTCCTTTGCCCACTTTTTAATGGGGTTGTTTTTCTCTTGTAAATTTGTTTAAGTTCCTTATATATGCTGGATATTAGATCTTTGTTAGATGCATAGTTTGCAAAAATTTTCTCCCATTCTGTAGGTTGTCTATTCACTCTGTTGGTAGTTTCCTTTACTGTGCAGAAGCTCCTTAGTTTAATTAGATCTCATTTGTCAATTTTTGCTTTTGTTGCAATTACTTTTAGCATGTTTGTCATTAAATCTTTGCCTGTTCCTATGTCCTTAATGGTATTGCCTAGTTGATTTCCAGGGTTTTTATAGTTTGGGGTTTTACATTTAAGTCTTTAAGCTATCTCGAGTTAATTTTTGTATATGATATAAGGAAGGGGTTCAGTTTTAATCTTCTGCATATGGCTAGCAGCTTAACCCAGTACCATTTATTGAATAGGGAATCCTTTCCCCATTGCTTGTTTTTGTCAGGTTTATCGAAGATCAGATGGTTGTAGGTGTACAGCCTTATTTCTGGGTTCTCTAATCTGTTCCATTGGGCTATGTGTTTGTCTTTGTACCAGAGCCATGCTGTTTTGGTCACTGTAGCCTCGTAGTACAGTTTGAAATTGGGTAGCATGATGCCTCCAGTTTTGTTCTTTTAGCTTGGGATTGCCTTGGCTCTTGGGCTCTTTTCTGCTTCCATATGAATTTTAAAATAGTTTGTTTCTAGTTCCGTGAAGAATCTCAATGGTAGATTAATAGGAATAACACTGAATTTCTATAAACTGTTAAGGGCCATATGGCCATTTGCATGATATTTATTCTTCCTATCCATGAGCATGGAATGTTTTTCCATTTGTCTGTGTCATCTCTGATTTCTTTGAGCAGAATTTTGTAGTTCCCCTTGTGGAGATCTTTCACCTCCCTAGTTTGCTGGATTCCTAGGTATTTTATTCTTCTGTGGCAATTATGAATGTGACTATGTTACTGATTTGGCTCTCGGCTTGACTATTGTTGGTATATAGGAATGTTTGTGATTTTTGCACATGGATTTTGCATCCTGAGACTTTGCTGAAGTTGTTTATAAGCTTAAGAAGCTTTTAGGCTGAGACGATGGGGTTTTCTAGATATAAGATTATGTCACCTGCATTTGAATGCACTTTATTTCTTTATCTTGCCTGATTGCCCTGGCCAGGACTTCTAACACTATGTTGAATGGATGTGGTGAGAGAGGGCATCGTTGTCTTATGCTGATTTTCAGTGGGAATGCTTCCAGCTTTGCCCATTTAGTATGATGTTGGCTGTCTGTTTGCCATAGGTGGCTCTTATTATTTTGAGGTATGTTCCTCCAATAAGGAGTTTAGTGAGAGTTTTTTAACATAAATGGGTATTAAATTTTATCAAAAGCCTTTTCTACATCTATTGAGATAATCATGCAGTTTTTGTCTTTAGTTATGTTTATGTGATGAATAACATTTATGGATTTGCATATGTTGAACTAACTTTGCATCCCAGGGATAAAGGTTACTTAATCACAGGGAGTAAGCTTTTTGATGTGTTGCTGGATTCGGTTTGCTAGCATTAGGTCAAAGATTTTTGCATCAATATTCATCAAGGATATTGGCCTGCAGTTTTTTTTTGTTGTATCTCTGTCAGGTTTTGATATCAGGATGCTGCTGGCCTCATAGAATGAGTTAGGGAGGAGTCCCTCCTCAATTTTTTGGAATAGCTTCAGCAGGAATGCTACCAGCTCTTCTCTGTACATCTGGTAAAATTTAGCTGTGAATCCATCTGGTCCTGGGCTTTTTTTGGTTGGTAGGCTATTTATTATTGTCTAAATTTCAGAGCTCCCTATTGGTCTGTTCTAGGTTTCAGTTTCTTCCTGATTCAGTCTTGGGTGGGTGAACGTGTCTAGGAATTTATTCATTTCTTCTAGATTTTCTAGCTTATCTGCATAGAGGTGTTTATAATATACTCTGATAGTTATTTGTATTTCGGTGGGGTCAGTGATAATATCCTCCTTGTGATTTCTGATTGTGCTTATTTGAATCTTCTCTCTTTTCTTCTTTATTAGTCTAGCTAGTGGTCTATTTTATTATTAATAATTCTTTCAAAAAACAGCTCTGGATTCCTTGATCTTTTTTTATCCAAGTAATTGAACAATTCTACAAGTATTAAATTTTACACCAGGAATGTATGAAGGTTCCCGAATCCTTGCTGATGCTTGTTATTGTTGTCTGGTTTAGTGGGTGTGAAGTGGTGTCATATTGTGGTTTTGATTTCTATTTCCCTAATGACAGATAACGCTGAGCATCTTTTCTTTTTTTTATTATATTTTAAGTTCTAGGGTACATGTGCACAATGTGCAGGTTTGATACATAGGTATACATGTGCCATGTTGGTTTGCTGCACCCATCAACTCATCATGTACATTAGGTATTTCTCCTAATGCTATCCCTCTCCCAGCCCCACACCCCCCGACAGGACCCAGTGTGTGATGTTCCCTGCCCTGTGTCCAAATGATCTCATTGTTCAATTCCCACCTATGAGTGAGAACATGCGGTGTCCGGTTTTCTGTCCTTGTAATAGTTTGCTGAGAATGACGGTTTCCAGCTTCATCCATGTCCCTACAAAGGACATGAAATTATCCTTTTTTATGGCTGCATAGTATTCCATGGTGTATATGTGCCACATTTTCCTTATCCAGTCTATCATTGATGGGCATTTGGGTTGGTTCGAAGTCTTTGCTATTGTGAATAGTGCTGCAATACACATACATGTGCATATGTCTTTATAGTAGCATGATTTATAATCCTTTGGGTATATACCCAGTAATGGGATTGCTGGGTCAAATGGTAATTCTAGTTCTAGATAATTGAGGAATTGCCACACTGTCTTCCACATTGGTTGAACTAATTTACACTCCCACCAATAGTGTAAAAGCATTTCTATTTCTCCACATCCTTTCCAGCATCTGTTGTTCCTGACTTTTTAATAATTGCCATTCTAACTGGCATAAGATCGTATCTCATCGTGGTTTTGATTTGCATTTTTCTAACGACCAGTGATGATGAGCATTTTTTCATGTGTCTGCTGACTGCATAGATGTCTTCTTTTGAGAAGTGTCTGTTCATATCCTTTGCCCACTTTTTGATGGGTTTGTTTGGCTTTTCCTGTAAATTTGTTTGAGTTCTTTGTAGATTCTGGATATTAGCCCTTTGTCAGATGAATAGATTGCAAAAAATTTCCCCCATTCTACAGGTTGCTGGTTTACTCTGAAGGTAGTTTCTTTTGCTGTGCAGAAGCACTTTAGTTTAATTAGATCGCATTTGTCAGTTTTGGCTTTTGTTGCCATTGCTTTTGGTGTTTTAGTCATGAAACTCTTTGCCCATGCCTATGACCTGAATACTATCGCCTAGGTTTTCTTCTAGGGTTTTTATGGTTTTAGGTCTAACATTTAAGTCTTTAATCCATCTTGAATTAATTTTTGTATAAGGTGTAAGGAAGGGATCCAGTTTCAGCTTTCTACATATGGCTAGCCAGTTTTCCCAGCACCATTTATTAAATAGGGAATCCTTTCCCCATTTCTTGATTTTGTCAGGTGTGTCAAAGATCAGATGGTTGTAGATGTGTGGTGTTATTTCTGGGGCTCTGTTCTATTCCGTTGGTCTATCTCTCTGTTTTGGTGCCAGTACCGTGATGTTTTGGTTACTGCAGTCTTGTAGTATAGTTTGAAGTCAGGTAGCAGGATGCCTCCAGCTTTGTTCTTTTGCTTAGGATTGTCTTGGCAATGCAGGCTCTTTTTTGGTTCCATATGAACTTTAGTTTTTTCCAATTCTATGAAGAAAGTCACTGGTAGCTTGATGGGGATGGCATTGAATCTATAAATTACTTTGGGCAGGATGGGCATTTTAATGGTATTGATTCTTCCTATCCATGAGCATGGAATATTCTTCCATTTGTTTGTGTCCTCTTTTATTTTGTTGAGCAGTGGTTGGTAGTTCTCCTTGAAGAGGTAATTCACATCCCTTGTAAGTTGGATTCCTAGGTATTTTATTCTCTTCATAGCAATTGTGAATGGGAGTTCACTTATGATTTAGCTCTCTGTTTGTCTGATAATGGTGTGTAGGAATGCTTGTGATTTTTGCGCATTGATTTTCTATCCTGAGACTTTGCTGAAGTTGCTTATCAGCTTAAGGAGATTTTGAGCTGAGACAATGGGGTTTTCTAAACATACAATCATGTCATCTGCAAACAGGGACAACTGGACTTCCTCATTTCCTAATCAAATACCCTTTATTTCTTTATCTTGCCTTATTGCCCTGGCCAGAACTTCCAACACTATATTGAATAGGAGTGGTGAGAGAGGGCATCCTTGTCTTGTGCCAGTTTTCAAAGGGAATGCTTCCAGTTTTTATCCATTCAGTATGATATTGGCTGCGGGTTTGTCATAAATAGTTCTTATTATTTTGAGATACGTTCCATTAATACCTAGTTTATTCAGAGTTTTTAGCATGAAGGGCTGTTGAATTTTGTCAAAGACCTTTTCTGCATCTACTGAGATAATCATGTGGTTTTTGTCTTTGGTTCTGTTTATGTGATGGATTACGTTTATTGATTTGCGTATGTTGAACCAGCCTTACATCCTAGGGTGAAGCCGACTTGATCATGGTGGATAGGCTTTTTGATGTGTTGATGGATTTGGTTTGCCAGTATTTTATTGAGGATTTCTGCATCGATGTTCATTAGGGATATTGGTCTAAAATTCTCTTTTTTTGTTGTGTCTCTTCCAGGCTTTGGTATCAGGATGATGTTGGCCTCATAAAATGAGTTAGGGAGGATTCCCTCTTTTTCTATTGAATGGAATAGTTGCAGAAGGAATGGTACCAGCTCCTCTTTGTATCTCTGGTAGAATTTGGCTGTGAATCTTTCTAGTCCTGGACTTTTTTGGTTGGTAGGCTATTCATTATTGCCTTAATTTCAGAGCCTGTTATTGGTGTATTTGGAGATTCAACTTTTTCCTGGTTTAGTCTTGGGAGGGTGTATGTGTCCAGGAATTTATCCATTTCTTCTAGATTTTCTAGTTTATTTGCATAGAGGTGTTTATAGTACTCTCTGATGGTAGTTTGTATTTCTGTGGGATCAGTGGTGATATCCCCTTTATCATTTTTTATTGCATCTATTTGATTCTCCTCTCTTTTCTTCTTTATTAGTCTTGCTAGTGGTCTATCAATTTTGTTGATCTTTTCAAAAAACCAGCTCCTGGATTCATTGATTTTTTGAAGGGCTTTTTGTGTCTCTATCTCTTTCAGTTCTGCTCTGATCTTCGTTATTTCTTGCCTTCTGCCAGCTTTTGAATGTGTTTGCTCTTGCTTCTCTAGTTCTTTTAATTGTGATGTTAGAGTGTCAATTTTATATCTTTCCTGCTTTGTGTTGTGGGCATTTAGTGCTATAAATTTCACTCTACACACTGCTTTAAATGTGTCCCAGAGATTCTGCTACATTGTGTCTTTGTTCTCATTGGTTTCAAAGAACATCTTTATTTCTGCCTTCATTTCATTATTTACCCAGTAGTCATTCAGGAGCTGGTTGTTCAGTTTCCATGTGGTTGTGCGGCTTTCAGTGAGTTTCTTAATCCTGAGTTCTAATTTGATTGCACTGTGGTCTGAGAGACAGTTTGCTGTGATTCCTTTTCTTTTACCTTTGCTGAGGAGTGCTTTACTTCCAACTTTGTGGTCAATTTTAGAATACATGCAATGTGGTGCTGAGAAGAATGTATATTCTGTTGATTTGGAGTGGAGAGTTCTGTAGATGTCTATTAGGTCTGCTTGTTGCAGAGCTGAGTTCAGGTCCTGGATATCCTTGTTAACCTTCCATCTCATTGATCTGTCTAATATTGACAGTGGGGTGTTAAAGTCTCCCAGTCTTATTGTGTGGGAGTCTATGTCTCTTTGTAGGTCTCTGAGGACTTGCTTTATGAATCTGGGTGCTCCTGTATTGGGTGCATATATATTTAGGAGAGTTAGCTCTTCTTGTTGAATTGATTCCTTTGCCATTATGTAATGGCTTTCTTTGTCTCTTTTGATCTTTGTTGGTTTAAAGTCTGTTTTATCAGAGACTAGGATTTCAACCCCTGCTTTTTTTTCTTTTTTTTTTTTCTTTCCATTTGTTTGGTAGATCTTCCTCCATCCCTTTATTTTAAGCCTATGTGTGTCTTTGCACATGAGATGGGTCTCCTGAATACAGCACACTGATGAGTCTTGGCTCTTTATCCAATTTTCCCGTCTGTGTCTTTTAATTGGGGCATTTAGTCCATTTACATTTAAGGTTAGTATTGATAATTGTGGATTTGATCCTGTCATCATGATGTTAGCTGGTTATTTTGCAGACTTGTTTATGTGGTTGTTTTATAGTGTCACTGGTCTGTATACTTCACCATGTTTTTGTAGTGGCTGGTAGCCATCCATTCTTCCCGTATTTAGTGCTTCCTTCAGGAGATCTTGTAAGGCAGGTCTGCTGGTAGTGAATTCTCTCAGCATTTGCTTGTCTGAAAAGGATCTTATTTCTCCTTCGTTTATGAAGCTTAGTTTGGCTGGATATGAAATTCTGGATTAGAATTTCTTTTCTTTAAAACTGTTGAACATTGGCCCCCAGTCTCTTCTGGCTTGTAGGGTTTCTGCTAAGAGGTCTGCTGTTACTCTGATGAACTTCCCTTTGTAGGTGAGCTGACCTTTCTCTCTAGCTGCCTTTAACATTTTTTCTGTCATTTCAACCATGGAGAATCTGACGATTATGTGTTTTGGGGATGATCTTCTTGTGAAGTATCTTACTGGGGTTCTCTGTATTTCCTAAATTTCAATGTTGGCCTGTCTAGCTAAGTTGGGGACATTCTCATGAATGATATCCTGAAATATGTTTTCCAAATTGGTTCCATTCTCCCCATCTCTTTCAGAGATACCAAAGAATCACAGATTTGGTCTCTTCACATAATCCCATATTTCTCAGAGGTTTTGTTCATTCTTTCTCATTCTTTTTTCTCTATTATCTGACTGTCTTGTTTCAGAAAGCCAGTCTTCAAACTCTGAAATTGTTTCCTCTGCTTGGTCTATTCTACTATTAATACTTGTGATTGCATTATGAAATTACTATAGTGTATTTTTCAGCTCTATGAGGTCAATTACATTCTTTTCTATATTGACTATTTTTTCTGTCACCTACTGAATTGTTTTATCATGATTTTTAGCTTCCTTGTATTGAGTTTCAATGTACTCCTGTAGCTCAATGATTTTCATTCCTATCCGTATTTTGAACTCTGTTTCTGTTATTTCAGCCATCTCAACCTGGTTCAGAACCCTTACTGGAGAAGTGATGTGATTGTCTGGAGAAAAGAAGGCACTCTGGTTTTTTGAGTTTTCAGGATTCTTGTGCTGATTCTCTCTCATCTTTGTGGGCTTATCTACCTTTAATCTTTGAGGTTGCTGACCTTTGGATGCTTTTTTTTTCTTTTAACCTCTTTGATGACCTTGAGGGTTTCATTGTGGTACAAGATGGATTTGCCCCACTGGCTTCGTTTCTGGAAAATTTTAGGGGGCCAACACTCAGCTTCCAACTCATGGACTGTGTGCTGTAACTCTGGGGTACTTGTATTGTTTTAATTTTAAAACAGGAAATGGCATTGCTTTATTTTCACTAAGTCTATTATTACTTTCTATTTATGGTCAGTAATGCTGCTCTTACATTCATGGTGAGAGTCTGCAAATTCTGTTTGATATGTGAATATAAGTAAATAAAAGTGAGTGACTTTTTTAAATTAAAATAATAATAATAAAAAAAAAGTGGTCTGCATATTTGGCCCAAAGCAAAAAAGTCTGGGATCAACTCTCCCTGAACCCCAGCTCTTCCCATCCCAACCACCTATTTTTCCTCAAAAGCCTGGATTTGGGTGTGAAGGTTTTTAGATTCTCCTTTCTTCTTTACCCTTATACTCACTTGGGATCCTTCACAACCAGCCTATCAACATAATTTGGGAAAAGTTATTTGTGCAGAAAAGGTCTGGTTCTTTCCTACTGGAGAATTGCAGAATAAACAAAACAAATGAATCAATTCAAAGACGCTTTCAGCCTCCAGCAACTGTTGCATTTTTACAATGGTAAAAGGCAGCCAAACCTCTCATTTGCCCAGAAGTTCTTTCTTTTTCCAATGGTTTTAAATGGCTCTAAAGAGAATGATCCAACTTAGCAGATAAAAGGCCAAGCCTCCTGTATAGAGAGGTCTTAATGTTTTCTTTTCAGCTTTGGAACCCCCTGATTATTAGCATTGTATCCTTGGACAAGTCACTGAGAGCCTGAATTTCTACACTTGACAAACAAGGACCTACTTCACAAGGGAGATAATGAGCATCAGGCACTTAGTTGAGGGTCAGGCACATATAAGGGCTTTAAAGAGCTATTACAATTATTATTATTTTGTTTGTTTGTTTTAATATATGTATACATTGTGAAATGATTGCCACAATCAAATTAATTATCATGTCCATTACTGCCCAGTTATGATTTGTGTGTGTGGTGAGAACACTTAAGATCTATTCTCTTAGCAATTTCAAGTGTACAATGCATTATTATTATTAACTGTAGTTACCATGCTATAAAATAGATCTCCAGAACTTCCTCCGCTCTAATTAAAACTGTATGTTTTACCAGCATCTCCCTATTCCCCCACCTCCTCCCAGCCCTTGGCAACAACCATCATTCTACTCTCTGCTTCTATGAGCTTGGCTTTTTTAATTAATTAATTTTTTAATAGACAAATAAAAATTGTATATATTTATCAGGTACAACATATTTTAAAATATGTATGCATTGTTAAATGGCTACATTGAGTGAATTAACATATGCATTCATCACATCTTTTTGTTTGTTTGTTTGTTTGTTTTTTGAGATGGAGTCTCGCTCTGTCGCCCAGGCTGGAGTGAAGTGGCGCATGTCAGCTCACTGCAACCTCCACCTCCTGGGTCCAAGTGATTCTTCTGCCTCAGCCTTCTGAATAGCTGGGACTACCGGCATGAGCCACCACGCCTGGCTAATTTTTGTATTTTTAGTAGAGATAGGGTTTCATCATATCGGACAGGCTGGTCTCAAACTCCTGACCTTGTGATCTGCCCACCTCGGCCTCCCAAAGTGCTGGGATTACAGGCATGAACCACCATGCCTGGCCCATCACATCATTTTTTATAGTGAGAACACTTAAAATTTATTCTGTAGTGCTTTTCAAGAAAATAATACATGGTTATTAACCATAGTCATTATGTTGTACAATAGATCTCTTTAATTCATTCCTCCCATAACTGAAATTTTGTATCCTTTGACCAACAATTCTCCAACTGCCCACCCTCCGCGCCAACTCCTGGTAACCACCATTTTATTCTCTGCCTCTATGAGTTTGACTGTTTAAAATTTCGCATGTAAGTGAGATCATGCAGTATTTGTCTTTCTGTGCCTGGCTTATTTCACTTAGTATAATGTCCTCCAGTTTCACCAGTTTGTCTCCAATAACAGGATTCCCTTCTTTTATTAAGGCTGAATAATTTTCCAGGGTGTATGTATATCACATTTTCTTTATCCATCATATATTGATGGACACTTAGGTTGATTCTGAATCTTAGCTATTATGAATAATGCTACAATAAACATGGGAGTGCAGATATCCTTAGAAGACTTATTTTATTTCCTTTGGATAACTACACACTAGTGGGATTCTGGAATCATATGGTGGTTCTAATTTTTTGAGGAAGTTCATACTGTTTTCTATAATGGCTGTACTAATGTACATTCTCACCAACAGTGTACATGGGTTGCTTTTTCTCTACAGCTCAGCAACACTTATTATCTTTTGTCTTTCTGATAATAGCCTGATAAAGAAAAACTTCAGCCAAATTAAATTTAAAGGAGTTTAATTGAGCAATGAACAGTTTGTGAATCGGGCAGCCTTCTGAGCCAGAGCAGGCTCAGAGACTCCAGTGCAGCTGCGTGGTAGAAGAAGATTTATGGACAGAAAAAGGAAAGTGATGTACAGAAAATGGAAGTAAAATACAGAAACAGCTGGATTGGTTGCAGCTGGGCGCTTGCCTTATTTGAACAGAGTTCAAACAGTTGGCTACATTTGATTGGCCAAAAGTCAGTGATTGGCACAAGGGTAGGCTATGGTTTGTTTATACCTCCGCTTGTTATAGTTCACGATGTACGGAAAAACCTTTAGGCTGAACTTAAAATATGTAAGGAGGCAGCTTAGGCTAAACTTGATCTAACAAACCATTCTAACAAGTGTGAGGTGACATTTTATTGTGACTTGAATTTATAGTCCCCTGATAATTAGGGATATTAAGCATTTTTTTCATATACTTGGCCATTCATATCTCTTCTTTTGAGAAATCTCTTATTATTATCATCTTCATTATCACTCTAATTATTAATAATGTTCACTAACCCATACAGCTACAGTGATTTTTGTTACAACAGGAGCTTTCTGCTTTCAAAAAAAAGTGCTGCTACCTTAAGTAATCATTTATCCTAACTCTAGGCTGCAACTTACTATTATTATTATTCATTCAACATTCACTCAACACTTACTTCCTAGAGCCACTGTTTGGGCACTGGGGAAATAGCACTGAACAACACAGAGCAAAGTCTTTGCCCTGTGGCTCACATTCTGGTGAAGCAGAGAAACAGTACACATAATAAATGAATGTTAATTACAGTATGTTTGGCAGTGATGAATGCTAGAGAAAAAATAGCCTATGACCTGGCAAAGGCATTACCCATTAAGGTAAAGGACCTATCTCCTAGAGCACTTGAGTTTTGTATCACATAATTCATCAAGGCCTTTAGATATTACAGTCTGATCTTTGGGCCAGTGGTCTCCCTGTGTCACAAGGCAAGCGGGCCTCAAGAAAGTAAAAAAGGAAAATATTTCCTCTATTTGCTATTGCCAAAACTTCCTCCAAGAGGGAAAGGATAGGACAAAAAGTATTTTGTGTGGGTGTGGCAGCCATAGCTAGGCTATCAAATACTATGCACATATGATATGCCACTCTCAGTCCCTATAATGGCAGATATGATTAAGGTTTCCTCTTTCCTGCTGAGCCCAGAACCAGCTTCACAAACTTTTTCAGCACAGTTCTCTGGGCAAGCAACTTTAGTGATTAAAGTTAGCCTAAAAGACTAAATCTATGTGCCATCATAGAGTGCAAAGTTAGGTTTAAATGTAAATATATCTAGCAAAGGTATCATACTGACTTAAAATCACACTAAGTCCTAAATGACTGGTCTTCTTCCAAGTGAACATTTTATTGGAGGTAGGGAATGGCTAAGAAGAAATGCTGTTAAGTGTATAGAGGGGAGGGGCAGAAGGCATGTATGAAGAAAAGGACAGGTTTTATAATCCCACCCACATTTGTATCTGAACATGTGTGTATGGCAAACACACCTGATAGCAATAACTTAAGCATACCCTAAGAATAACCCTGTATGGCAGATGCACTTGAATGTGGTTAGGTGTCCCAAGCTAAGAATCCAAGAATGGCCAACCCAGAGAGTTGTTCCTAATCTATAAGGAACATCTGAGCCCCTGGCCTGTCCAATGGAACATGGCTGTATAGGGAATCAAGGCCCTTTGTTTGGGGTTAAGTGAAGGTTGCCAGGTAGAGACTGTCACAGGGAGAGTGCTAAGTAAATATGCCATATAAACTGCATGTTTTTTGCAAGTTGCCTGGTTCTCCTGTCCAGCCCACTGCCACTGGACTCTCTCCCCTGTATGTAAGCCCCCAGTAAAAGCCCATGTCACGTTTCCTGTCTCTGGGTCTCTTCTTCAGCCTCTTGAACCTGGTGCCATCCCCACTGAAGTTGATAGGTGTTCAGCACAACAGTGTCATTAGGAATTTCTACAATGTCATAAGCAATGTCATAAGGCATTTCTACACACTCTCACTTGAAGGAACCACCTCCATTAGTGTACCTTAGTCTTTCACACAAACACATACCTGAGCCCACAAATAAAGTGCTCAAAAATAGTGGCTCTCTTCTTCTAGTTGTTCAGGCCAAACACCTTGGAGTCCACCACCAAATCCTTTTAGGACAACCTTCAAAAGATTAACAGCCACTTCTTGCCATCCAACCATACCATCCATGATAATCCAACCATTTCTTGCCAGCTCTACCCTGACCTCCAAAATCAAGCCACCACCAAGTCTTGGCAAGAAGGGCTACAATAATTCCCCAACAGTCTCAGCTTCTGCCTGTGATCCTGGACTGTCTATCTCTACTTAGGAGCCTGCTAAAACCTAAGTCAGGTAACATCCCTCCTCTGGCCAAAAACCTCTAGTACCTTCCTATCTCACCCAGAGTAAAGTCCCACAAGGTCCCTCACGCTCTTGTTCCCAACTGTCTCTCAGGCCGCTTTTCTCTTGCCCTGCTTTGTACTCTTCCTTCCAGCCCACAGGCCTCCATGCTTTCCTCAAACAGGCCTGCTATGTTTCCATCCCAAGACCTTTTCCCTTGCTGCTGCCTTTGCCTGGGAGACTTTTACTCCAAGGTGCCATATGGCTTCTTCCTTACTCCAGTCACATCTTCAATGTGGCCATGAGAGGCCCTGCTAGATCACTTGATCTAAGGCAGCACACAAGCCAGCCCCCACCTCCACCCTCTCCCTCTAATTCTCCTTACCTTGTTTGATAATTCCTCATGGCATTTATCACTTTCTAACCCAATATCCTTCCTTCCTTTCCTCCCTCCATTCCTTTTTTCCTTCTTTTCGTCACTATCTGTCTTCCAATAGAAAATAAGCTCCATTTGCATAGGGGCATGGTCTGTTCTACTCATTCTTCTGCCTAGAATAGGATCTGGCCCAGAGCAGGCTGACCAACTCTTTACTAAAAACTCATCCGTCACTGAGAACTAGCACCACACCACAGAAGGAAGAAGGCTCTGCATCTACAAAATACAGCTGCTTTGTTTGAGTGCTTTGAGCTCTGTCTCCTGTAACTGGGTGACAAAGGTCTAAACACATAATGATAGTGCTGGTGTGATAGAAAGTGAAAGTTCTTTACTCTTGAAAAAAAGCTAGATTTTATCAAGTGCTGGATTTGCTCAGTGGCATTTAGGTTTTACCGCTATAAAACAATATTCCTATTTCTTAAGTTCTTGCTAGGAAAACAAGTAACTTTGATTTTTCAGTCTGAAACTCTCCAGCGCCCCTTAACTATGGCCCCCGAAACAAACATTTTATACTGAATTTTTGATAACACACAATTTATTAAAATGCAGCTATTACATTAGTGCAGAATAAGCTATATACATTCTAAGATTTAGCATGCTGTCAAAAGGTTTCCTCATTGGAACTGATAGCTACCCCTAAAGCAGAGATGGTCTTGAGCATATCATTTACCCACTTTAAGCCTCGGTGCCTTTAATCTGTAAAATGAATGGCTACACCAGGCTCTCTCTAGCATTTATTCCAAATGATACATTCAGGCAGGCAGGCATGGGATCCAGTGGAAAAGACTTGGGATTTGGAGCTTGAGATCTGGCTCTGTCACTTACAAGCCACACTGAATCTCATTTTTTTTCATCTATAAAACATTAATCACTGGAAATAACTACCTTGTCTATACCACCTTTTGGTATCTTAGGACATACATTTGGAGGATCACCAAGACAGGGCTGTGAGGACATCTATTTGGTTTCCCAGGATGAGCAGAGTACCTGACACATCACAGGCACTCACGTGCATTTGCTGCGTGGAGGAAAGAATATATGGACAAATAAAAAAACACTTCCACACCTCCCCAGCTGTTGTAAGGACTTACTAAAGCAATGCATGTTGAAAGAGCTTTTTAAATTCTAAAGTAATACAAATGATAATAATTACTGTGATAGATCTATTTCACATTTGCCCAGTTCAGCCTTGGTTGTCATACTAATTTAATACCAACATGACTGGAACTGGAAAGAAACTAATATTGATTGAGGTCTTACTATATCCTAAGCAGATACATATGTACGTATGTGCACGTATATAATTTGAGTCTTCTACCTTTTTAACCAGGTGGGTGTCTTAATGTAGTTATAAGTTCTAGCCAGCAGAAGTCAGAAACTGAGTCAAAACTGAACTCACAAATCAGTCAACAGTTACTTAGCACTCAGTACTTGCCAGCCTCTATGCGTGGTGCTTTGCAGGCATGGGCACATTCAGTTTTTCAACAGCCTTTGAGGTAACCACAGATACCCCTTTTTATAGATCAGGAAACACAGACTCAGAGCAGTTAAGTAACTTGCTTCAAGTTAACAGCTAGGAGGTGGCGGGGCCAAAATTTCACTGTCTGACTTCAAAGTCCATGCCCTTAAGCAGTATATATTATGCAGTACATTCATGTAAGCTTATCACTGAAGGTATGCGGAATAATTCGGGTGCTTTTATTTTTGTTCAATAAAAAGCTGCTTTAGCACTCTATCACCACTGCCTTAATTTTTTTTTTTTTTTCTAAAATGAAAATCTGTGCCTGGGAATATGGGTATAACTAAAAATGGGACAGGAGACCACCCCCAGAAAGACAGGCGGCCCCAGTTTCAAGTTCTTATTTCTCACATTGGCCCTTCTGGTGTGTCCCAGCTGTATTGTCATAACCTATAGGGAAGTTCCGCAGTCAGGAAGGCCAATGACAATATATTTCCCCTGACAACACCCTGGTCCCTTTCTGAGTTATTCAATGACAATTGAAATGTCTTTTCAATATTTTCTTTTCCTTTTCAGGGCAAACATGTCCACTTGAGTCATTATGATCATCAGCTGTTCTGATTTGCAAGCAGTTCCTAATTGAGTAGGACTAGTGAATGCTGTGAGATATGAAATATCTTGCTGCTAAA
Source organism: Homo sapiens (assembly GCF_000001405.40). NCBI lineage: Eukaryota > Metazoa > Chordata > Mammalia > Primates > Hominidae > Homo > Homo sapiens. Next base: position 61,112,661 of record NC_000003.12, read on the forward strand.
TTGCACACAGGCTGAAGGCAATAAGAATTTGTTTAGCTATGCATAGCGCTTTATATTCAGGGACCAGTGGTTATGGAGACACTAAAACCAGTCATCATTAGGACAATCCTATCTTGGCTACCAGAGAATGAAGATCCCCACACAGAGCTACCTGAACAGACTAACGGTCAAGAGGCTGATGAGGCATTAATGAGACCATGAATCAAAATTTACCAAACAAACAGTGCCTCCAAGGCTTCTAGTTGTTTCTGTTTGACTTTATCTTGGAACTAACTATGGAACAAGATGGCTGTGTTTAGATGTCTTCATTCATGGCCTATCTTTGAACACTGTGTGTGTTTATTTGTTTGTTTGTTTGTTTGAGACAGAGTCTTTCTCTCTTATCTGGGCTGGAGTGCAGTGGTATGATCATGGCTTACTGCTGCCTTGACTTCCCAAGCTCAAGAGATCCTCCCATCTCAGCACCCCAAGTAACTGGGACTACAGGCGTGCACCACCAAGACTGACTAATGTTTTTATTTTTAATTTTTGTAGAGATGGGGTCTCACTGTGTTGCCCAGGCTGCTCTCAAACTCCTGGGCTCAAGTGATCTTGCCACCTGGGCATCCCAAAGTGCTGGAATTATAGGTATGAGCCACCATGTCTGGCATCTTTGAACAATTCTTCCAAGCAACTATTTTGACTTCATTTCTTTCTAGGAAAAATAAATAAACAAGATCATAGAGTTATATTATACAATATAAAATCCAAATACTGACAAAAGTCAACCATATTAGTCACTTTCCACTAAATAAAGTTGTGTCTATGGTTCTTTCTCTGGGAAAATTTACCATGTAGTAACTATCATTTACTTAGTATGTGCTAAGCACCATGCTGAGAGCTTTGTTCCTAACTCTTAGTTAGGTTACCTTAGAAAGCCCCCCACACCTGGGTTATTTCCTAGTTCTATGTTCTAGGTACCTCTCTGTCATTAAGCTTACCACAAACTCATTTGTTTATTTGACATCTCTCTTGAATTGAACTGTAAGAGTCACTAGAGCCAGGACCATGTCTATCTTTGCCCCCATTGTAACCCCAGCCTCTAACATAACACATGATATACAGCGGATGCTCGATAAACATTTGAGGAATAAATGAAGGAAGCAAGTCGAAGAAACATCCCTGGGTTGCTATCGCTGTAAGCAGTAGAAGTTGCATTTGAATTCAGACTCCAAAGCCTGTGTTCCTCACCTGCAGCACACGGTCTCTGTCTGAGCTGAATAGTCTGTTGCATCAAAACACATCAAACAGGAAATAAACAAGAGCAACTATTATTACCACGGTCCCATACAGCCACTAGAGAGCAAAAGGGGTTTCTCTATGACTATTGAGGTATATTAAGGACTCATTACAGAATAAACACTACTGGGCACAAAAGCATATGAGAAAAGTTTTAGGAGTACAATGAAATCATGCCCAATCTTTCCTCAGGGTCCCTTTCCATTCTCTATTTATATTGTTTCCAGTTTATTATTATTATAACTGAACATTTAGGACCCAAGGGATGTTGGCCAGTGGAGCTACAGAATTCTCAGTCCTCTGAGGAACCTAGCAACTAGTGTTTTCTTACCTGGCTCTTAGGAGCAAAAGGAGAAAACAAATGTGCATCCCTGAGCTGTTGTCTAGCATATAAAAAAGATGCTATTATTAATAACATTTTGTCTTATTAACATTTGTCCTACTGTGATTTATTGGCAGCCAGAAGCCCAAGCTTTAGGATTAGTCAGACCTGAATTGAGCCACTTAGTTCTTGTAGGGCCTCCACCAAGTTATGTAACCTCAACCTCTTTCTTCATGCATAAAATAGGATTAGTAATACTATCTACTTCACATAAGTGCTTGGCATAGAATCTGGCACAGAGGGGAAAAAAAAACAATCATTGGTGCTTATTTTCATCAGCTTCCTCCTAATTATTATTTAGTCAGCTGTGAGTAAAAAGAACCTAGCGTTGGCCATGGAACCTGGAAATATGACCTTTGACCCTGTCCTGTTAATGCAATTGTAGTGAGTGAATTTTTTTTTACGTGTTCCCATCCCCGAGCAGTCCCTCCCTCTCTCAAGGACCCGGTGGACTTCCTGGTCTTGGCAAAGTATGCAACACACATTTACCTTTATCCTGCCAGGGAAGTGAAGGTTTGAGACCATTAAGCTGGGGGCTTCCCACCTACAGTAGCTCCCCAATGCTTCCAGTACAAAGTTTAAACTCCTTAGCTTGCCACTCAATACCCAACATCATTTGATCCAAGCAACTTTGAGCTTGACATCAGGGCCAAAAGATGCTTTTTCCACTTAAGAACAGAAATTCAGTCCAGTAGACTAGTGGAGGATATGCTAATATTTTACTTCCCTTTCCATCCGGAACAGATAATATGGTAAATCATCTGTTCATTTAGTCAGAAATAACTGTTGTTCTAGGTGTTGGGGCTATAACTGTGAAAAAGAAGACTTGATTTTATGGAATCCACAGCCTAGTGAAAGAAAGAGACAATAATTAAATGGTGCCATTGTGTATAATCAGTGGATAATTATAATTGGAAATAAGTGAAAAGCAAGATAACCATCCTTGGACTGGAAGAGAAAATGCCAAAAGCCCAGAGGAGGGCTAAGAGTTCACCATGTGAAGGAGGTATCACTGTGTCTAGAGAGAGCCTGGCATAGAATGGATCTGAAAGCCTGATAAGAGGCAGGAGCGCCAAGAGTAAAGGCCAAGCACAAGGAGGCTGGAGCAATAGGTAGAGCCCAACTGTCCAGTGGGAGGAAGGGGAGGAAATGATGGGAGATAGGCAAGGAGGGGTGACAGCAGGAAGGAAGGAAAATGAACAAATGCCAGATATATTCAGCAGATAAAATAGAAATAAGCTGCTGATAAAATGGATGACAGGGAAGGGAAGTCCTGAGGGTGTGGCAGGTAGCCAGAATGACTCTGAGATTTGTGGAGTGTGGAAATAAAAGGATGGAAGTGCCATTTATTAATTTTATTCTTAAAGATACCTTGAGACAGTTGAGAGGATATGATGAGACAACTGCATGTATACAGTTGTGCATAAGGTTCAGAGAAACACTCCGGCTGGCCATTGCAGCTTGTAGGAAAGTATAGGGCCTGGGAAGAAGAGTATTGAAAAAAGAAAAAGGTGACACGCTGTTCATATGAGAGATGCAAGAATGAAGCAATAGTGGCATTCCACAAGCCAGGACTGAGACCGTCTCCCAAACAGCCAGATGACTCTGAACCTCAAACCAACTTGCAGTCACCTTAGAATTTTATTAGCTGCACCAGATGGCTTACATAATATCATTAACTCCTCCACCCTCACTACCTAAAAATGCTAGAAGATAAAAGGGACGGCTGAGGAAAATCCTGGAATTTTCTTACAGAAACAACATTTACAACAGGTAACTAGCCCATCAGTTTCTCTAGTATTTCTCAGACATTTCCAGTTAAGTCTCTAGAATGACAAAAGCAAATGATCCTCGGGTCTTGGTGGTGCCATCTTAAGTTTCCCTCTGTAAATGTAAATGATTTTTAAAGCCTCGTCTAGTACTTTAAAAATTCATGCAAATTTTGCATGTTACTGCATAATATCATTATGCTGCTTTTAATACGTACACACACTTTTAATTCTCCCAAATACTGAAGCAAAAATGATGTGCCACAAATGTGCCTCCATTATTAGCCTGTGACTTTGGGAATGCCCTTGTCCACAGCTTTGCATGCAGGGTTGAACTCATTAACTAAGTTGAGAACCATGAAATTAATCAGAAATGGACTAGGGAAGTTTTTCCTTAGAGCAGAAGACTAGAGTCATGACCTCTAAAAATCACTCTTCGTTCCTACAAATTCTAAAATAAGTGGTAATAATAACATTAATATTAAAATCACACTAAGTGGATTTTAAATTCATTCTCTCACACTAGAGGTAGTTACTATGGTACATAGTATGAGAGAGGTATCAATTTAAAGATAAAGATGAGGATACAAACACAGAAAGTTAAAGTATCTTTCAAAGCACCATAATTTGAAGCCAGACAGTTCTAGTCCAAGCCAAACTACTATTGTCCTCTCTGCTACATATTAGCAGCAAACTCATCTTACTACTCTTGCTGATGGCTTATATTTGGTGATAATCAAGAACAATACTGAAAAGCATGCTTCAAAAATAGAAAAAAAGCTTCATCTTCCCCAAACATAATTTTATTTAACTGAAAAATATCAGTGTGCAAATTGAACATTTTTGGTACATAAAGTCAAGTGTTACTAATTAAGTAAATGAGTGATGAATCATAATATCAACCCAGTCATTAAACAAAATTATAATGAAATTACATTTACCAACTAGTTTACAGTACAAAAAATATAATGAGCCAACTTTAAAGAAAGCTTCCAATAATTTTATTAAGGCCTTCCAATAATTTTATTTAGTTAAGGATTCTGTTGTATTATCTTAAAAGATTAATACAAATAGAAAATGGAAGAGTAAACTGTGCAATGACTTCTGTCCCTCTCAACCTTTCTCTAGAGTCACATCTTTTAAGCAACATGAGACATGATTTAATTCACCCAAGAGAGGTCACCTTGCTTGCCGGGCAGGTGCCTTCTGTTTAAATTCAGTTTACTCAATCAAATGTACCACGGAATAGAAAATGGGGCATATTCCTGTCCTGAAATTCTTCCTATGTTAACTAAAATCACCTTACTTTTGTAGCAAATGAGCCATGAGATACGGTGCCAGAAATTGATTTGGAAGAGTAAGTACACAGTCTGAAAACAGTGTCTGTATGTTTTGTAATAAAAAGGCTCTGGATGGCCCTAGATGCCAAAGAGAGGCTATAAAAGGACAAAGGAATGCAAACAGGGGCAGAACTATACAAAAAGATTAAATGCATCACCACTAAAAGCGATACTTACTCTTCTATAAACATATACATTTACTGATTGCTAATTTTTATCTGACGAGTGGTTTTGAGGTGGCCTCAGTGCAATGTCATCTCCCCTGAGCTTGTGTCTTGGACCTAGCTAGAGTAGATCATTACTCCCCAATACAGCTCCCATTATTTTCTTCCTAGCACTTTAAAAAGGCTCTAATTATTTTCTCTTTAGTTTTCCACTTGCTAATTGCCTATGTTCCCTTTGTCATTACCAGTGCCTAGCTCAGTGTCTGGCCCATAGTGAGAAGATACTATAATATATTTACCGAACGAATGAACAAAGCTGCGAGTGGCAAACAGGATGGGGCACTCTTTTGAGTTCATTTATACAAATCAGATTCTATTTCATTTTATTAAATACTTTTATTTACTCATTGTCTTCTGAAATTACTCTGGGTTCTCATTAATAAGGAGAAACTGATTCTATCTTCAGGAAGGAGGGGAAAAAACACTTTCAGTCACTTGTTCCAAAGGTCTTTCAAAATAATGTTGTAGTATAATTTGGTTTGAAAGCAAGGTCCAACATTTTATTACCTCCAAATTTATTCAGAAAAGCTGAAGGCCCGTGATAAGGCTCATTAAGTCGCTGAAAGGCCTATCTTCACGTGCCTTTCACACAAAAGGTCTCAACTTAATGCCAGGTAATTACTGTTCATTTTCCCCTGGTTATCTCTATTTCCTGAAGATTCCCAGAGTAGTTGGCCTCAGTGGACACTACCCGCAGTCTGAGATGTGAGCAGAGCAAGAAGGACCCATGTTCACTGGAGGATCTTTTTGGAGCTGTAACGAAAGACAATCCTAACACTGGGGTCTAGAATTTAAACTTAGATCATCTACAAGTTACCCTCTATCCAGAATTAAAGCCAAGAGGGAAAAGTTTCTGGCATACAAACTGGTTTGTATTTCCATTTCAAAGACATCATTTTTCATAGCACCTGGACCTCATTCCACACCTGTAGGGTTACAGATGTGGGCCCTGGCTCCAGATTACCTGGGCTCAACCCTCAACTTCATCACTTTCCACTTTGTAACTTTGAGCATGTAACTTAGATTGTCAGTGTGTCAGTTCCCTTATTTGTGAAATAGGGCTCATTGTACCTACTGGAGTGTTGTTGTAAGAATTGAATGTAAAGTAGAAGGAACTTTATCTCACACATGGTAAGTTCTCCATAAAGTTATTTATTTATTAATATTAATTAGCATTATCATGATCGTCTCTGATATCCCATTTGCAAGCAGGACTTATCCCTGTTATTTATAACTTTGATCCTAGTCCCACTGGACCCATCATGGCATTGAGGGAGATCAAATTTCACTATTTGTGAAACAAGCCAACAGAAGGTGAATGATGATCAGGGAAGACATTTTACTGGGCACCATCATTTCAGTTTTGCACGGAAGAGTGGTATAGCCCCTTAGAGGTCACTGAAGTCACCATCCCCAAGCATACACCTGTTTTTATATTTAATCAATTGATGGCTGCAATTTACTAATCTGCACTGCAGTGATCCTACAATAGCCTTCCCTCACAGTGGGCTCTCCTCACTTCAGCCAGGTCATTCATAAGAGCTTAGCTTCATAGATACTGTGATAGTAATTTTTTTTTTTTCGAGATGGAGTCTAGCTCTGTCGCCCAGGCTGGAGTGCACTGGTGTGATCTCAGCTCACTGCAACCTCCACCTCCCAGGGTCAAGCGATTCCCTGCTTCAGCCTCCTGAGCAGCTGGGATTACAGCCACCATGCCCAGCTAATTTTTTTTGTATTTTTAGTAGAGACGGGGTTTCAACATGTTGGCCAGGCTTGTCTTGAACTCCTAACCTCAAGTGATCTGCCCACATTAGTCTCCCAAAGTGCTGGGATTACAGGCACAAGCCACCGTGCCCAGCCTGTTATAGTTAATTTTACTGTCAACTTGACTGAGCTAAGAGATTCCCAGGTAGCTGGTAAAACATTGCTTCTGGGTGTGTCTGTGAAACACCCTGTGAGGGTGTTTTTGGAAGAGATTAGTATTTGAACCTCAGTAGATTGAGTAAAGATAACTGTCCTCACAAATGCATGTGGCCATCATCCAATCCACTGAGGGCGCAAATAAAACAAAAGGCAGAGGAAGGGTGAATTTGCTCTCTCTTATGGAGCAGGGACATCAGCCTTCTCCCGCCCTTGGGCTGGGACTTACACCTTCAGTTCTCTGGTTTTCAGGCTTTCAGACTTTAACTAGAACTCACATCATCAGGTCTCCTGGTTTTCAGCCCTTCAGACTCAGGCTGAGACTATACCGCCAGCTTTTCTGAATCTCCAGCTTGCAGACGGCAGATCATGGGACTTCTCCACCTCCATAATCAAATGAGTTAATTCCTCATAATAAATCTCTTTTTATTGATTCTTTTTCTCTGGATAACCTTGATTAACACAACCTCTGAGTTACAAGAGATAATTAAATATAGCAGCTGAGAGCATGAGCTCAAAACTTGAATGACCTGGGTTCAATTCTTCACTGTCACTAGTGAACCAGGGCATGTTACTTTATACACTAAGGCTAAGTTCACCATCTAGATATAGGGTTAATAGAGTGGTAACAAATCCAAAGGACTAAGGACTATGATAAGGATTATATAAGATCACTATGGGTGACTCTGTAAAACTCTTAGCATGTTGTCACTTATATAACAAACATTCAATAAACATTAGCTACTATATTTAGACATGTCTTGGGCATGTATGTTCCAGAAATCTTTTTATATTAGATGGTCACTACAGAAAGGCAATCTATATGCCAAGCTTTTCAATGAAGCAAACATTATATTTGAATACTGAGTCTTAACCTCAAAAGGTTACAGAACAATTTTCATTCAAGAACAAATCAGAAATCACAGGTTGGAGTGTACATCATCCCTTGGCAGTCTCAGCAAGCTAACCCTACCTAAAGTGTCAGAAGACTTTTCTCGTTTACAGAAATGCCTTTAGAAATCCCCAACCAACCACTGGTAGGTCCCCAAGCTTCAGTCTTCAAAGGTGGCACTTTTGCAGGCTAAAAAATCCAAAAACCAGAATGTCTCTTCTCCTCCAAAGGATCACAACTCCTCCCCAGCAAGGGAACAAAACTGGACCAAGAATGAGTTTGACGAATTGACAGAAGTAGGCTTCAGAAGGTGGGTAATGACAAACTCCTCTGAGCTAAAGGAGCATGTTCTAATCCAATGCAAGGAAGCTAAGAAACTTGAAAAAAGGTTAGAGGAATTGCTAACTAGAATAACCAGTTTAGAGAAAAACATAAATGACCTGATGGAGCTGAAAAACACAGCATGAGAACTTCGTAAAGCATACACAAGTATCATAGTCAAATCAATCAAGCAGAAGAAAGGGTATCAGAGATTGAAGATCAACTTAATGAAATAAAGTGTGAAGACAAGATTAGAGAAAAAAGAATGAAAAGGGAGGAACAAAGCCTCCAAGGAATATGGAACTATGTGAAAAGACCAAACCTACAACTGATTGGTGTACCTGAAAGTGACAGGAGAATGGAACCAAGTTGAAAAACACTCTTCAGGATATTATCCAGGAGAACTTCCTCAACCTAGCAAGGCAGGTCAACATTCAAATTCAGGAAATACAGAGAACGCCACAAATATATTCCTCGAGAAGAGCAAACCCAAGACACATAATCGTCAGATTCACCAAAGTTGAAATGAAAGAAAAATGTTAAGGGCAGTCAGAGAGAAAGGTCGGGTTATCCACAAAGGGAAGCCCATCAGACCAACAGCAGATCTTTCTGCAGAAACCCTACAAGCCAGAAGAGAATGGGGGCCAACATTTAACATTCTTAAAGAATTTTCTACCCAGAATTTCATATCCAGCCAAACTATGTTTCATAAGCACAGGAGAAATAAAATCCTTTATGGACAAGCAAATGCTGAGAAATGTTGTCACCACCAGGCCTACCTTACAAGAGCTCCTGAAGGAAGCACTAAATATGGAAAGGAAAAACTGTTACCAGGAGCTACTGCAAAAACATACCAAATTGTAAAGACCATTGACACTATGAAGAATCCGCATCAACTAACGGGCAAAATAACCAGCTTGCATCATAAAGACAGGATCAAATTCACACACAACAATATTAAACTTAACTGTAAACAGGCTAAATGCCACAATTAAAAGACACAGACTGGCAAATTGGAAAAACAGTTAAGACTCAGAGGTGTGAGACCCATCTCACATGCAAAGAGACACATAGGCTCAAAATAAACGTATGGAGGAATATTTACCAAGCAAATGGAAAGCAAAAAAAAGCAGGGGTTGCAATCCTAGTCTCTGATAAAACAGACTTTAAACCAACAAAGATTAAAAAAGACAAAGAAGGGCATTACATAATGGTAAAGGGATCGATGCAACAAGAAAAGCTAACTATGACACTGACCAAGACAATCCTAAGCCAAAAGAACAAAGCTGGAGGCATCACGCTACCTGACTTCAAACTATACTACAAGGCTACAGTAACCAAAACAGCATGGTACTGGTACCAAAACAGAGATATAGACCAATGGAACAGAACAGAGCCCTCAGAAATAATACCACACATCTACAACCATCAGATCTTTGACAACCCTGACAAAAACAAGCAATGGGGAAAGGATTCTCTATTTAATAAATGGTGTTGGAAAAACTGGCTAGCCATATGCAGCAAACTGAAACTGGACCCCTTCCTTACACCTTATACAAAAATTAACTCAAGATGGATTACAGACTTAAATGTTAGACCTAAAACCATAGAAACCCTAGAAGAAAACCTAGGCAATACCATTCAGGACATAAACATGGGCAAAGACTTCATGACTAAAACACTAAAAGCAATGGCAACAAAAGCCAAAATTGACAATTGGGATCCAATTAAACTAAAGAGCTTCTGCACAGCAAAAGAAACTACGATCAGAGTGAACAGGCAACCTACAGAATGGGAGAAAGTTTTTGCAATCTATCCATCTGACAATGGGCTAATATCCAGAATCTACAAAGAACTTAAACAAATTTACAAGAAGAAAACAACCCCATCAAAAAGTGGGCGAAGGATATGAACAGTCACTTCTCAAAAGAAGACATTTATGTGGACAACAAACATATGAAAAAAAACCTCATCATCACTCGTCATTAGAAAAATGCAAACCAAAACCACAATGAGATACCATCTCACACCAGTTAGAATGGCTATCATTAAAAAGTCAGGAAACAACAAATGCTGGAGAGGATGTGGAGAAATAGGAATGCTTTTACACTGTTCGTGGGAGTGTAAATTAGTTCAACCATTGTGGAAGACAGTGTGGCGATTCCTCAAGGATCTAGAACCAGAAATACCATCTGACCCAGCAATCCCATTACTGGGTATATACCCAAAGGATTATAAATCATTCTACTATAAAGACATATGCACATGTATGTTCAATTGCAGCTGTTCACAATAGCAAGACTTGGAACCAACCCAAACGCCCATTAATGATAGACTGGATAAAGAAAATGTGGCACATATACACCATGGAATACGATGCAGCCATAAAAAAGGATGAGTTTATGTCCTTTGCAGGGACATGGATGAAGCTAAAAACCATCATTCTCAGCAAACTAACACAGGAACAGAAAACCAAACACTGCAAATTTTCACTCATAAGTGGGAATTGAACAATGAGAACACATGGACACAGGGAGGGGAACATCACACACTGGGGCCTTTCAGTGGCTGGGGCGCTAGGGTAAGGATAGCATTAGGAGAAATACCTAATGTAGATGACAGGTTGATGGGTGCAGCAAACCACCATGGCACATGTATACCTATGTAACAAACCTGCACATTCTGCACATGTATCCCAGAGCTTAAAGTATAATAAAAAAAAAGGAGAAGAACAAAAAAAGGTGGCATTTTTTCAAAAATTGTATTAAGTGATAAGATGTTAACATAAAAATTATTAAGATGACCAAAATACATTAGAAGAAGCAGAAATCAAAGGTAGGCATGCAGTAGGGTCTCTTTAACCTACTTCTTCTTGTTCTATCCCCCACATTATGCTTGCTCTGTTAATGGCAACATTTACTCCCTTAGTGTAGTAATAAATGTTCAGCAACTGGGTGGTGGGGGTGTTCTAATTGTAGTGTTTGCCAATTTTCATGGTGTAAATACATACTCTCACCATGGCTGGCTTCAAGATACCAACATGATATCACTGAAAAGGGAGTTGGGAAGAGAAGCTTATAATCAGCTCTTACAAATACGTACAACATGGATACTCTTGAGCCCAGGAAAAGAAAAGGTATGTGAATAACATAGTATCAAAAGCATCTAGTCTCTTCTTGAGCCATCAGCCCATTCTTGTCAGGTTCACTATTGGGAGCATGGAGAAATATATGAACTGAAAGCAAAAGTTATGAAGGCAGGGGATAGAAAATAGTATCATTACCACTGAAGAGAAAGAATTGTATTTTTTCCTGTACGATAGGCAACATGGCACACAGACATAACAAGTCTGGGTTGAGGACGGCTATTAGAGCAAAACGTGTTTTAGAATCAGAATTTTATATTTTAAAACCAATTGGCATGATTCTTGCATATGTATCATGAGTGTATGATTGCCTATGCATGAGTTCAGTATTAAGAAATAGCCAAAACTCTCTGTGGTGTAGGACTTCCATCACACCAACCAGGCAGAGAGGCTTTCTTTGAATGCCCGAACTCTGCTCATTCTCCATCATCCTCCATTAACGGAGGGCAGTTAATGCACATATCTGCCTGTGTGGTGGTAAATGCTTAACAACGGCTGGTGGTGGGATGGGGGTGTTCTAATTGTAGTGTTTGTCAGTTTTCATGGTGTAAATATTAATACATATTCTCATGGTGGCTGGTTTCAGGCTACCAACATGATATCACTGATTAGGGAGTTGGGAAGAGAAGCTTATAATCAGCTCTTAAAAATAAGTACAAGCTAGCTCCAAAAATGTCTATACTATGTTTCCAAGAGATGAAAACCTCATGGACAAATACTCTTTCGCGATATATATGGTTGCTGTAAAGTAATTTTTATATGGTTCATTGTGAGAGTTTAAGTATTACTTCTTTTAAGTACTAGAAATGGAAATATAATCTCTAATCCCTTTTCTAACTGAATGAAATGTTAACTTCGATCATCCATCTGTGCAGTTACTCTTCTAGTAAATGTGATTTTTTAAACTTTCTCTCCTCTTTTCAGGGCTACATCTGCTAGTGTTTTCCATTTGCCAGCTCCCAACATGTCCCCAATTACTTCTTTTTTATTTTATAGCCTCCATGCTGATGTTTCATCAGTTACAACTGCTGGGTTCCACTGAGCATTAACAGTCTGCAGTGCCTCTAGGAGGTTACATAATTCACTAAGTATACCAAATCATTTTTTCTCCAAAGAATATTATTTAATGTAAATACAGTGTGAGGTTAATGTAGTACAAAAGAAAGGTTTTTCCCTTAGAATCATCAAAAAACTGAAAAAAATGATTCACGGAAGAATGGTTTACACGCAGGAACAAGAAATCACTTGTATTTAAGGATTATTTCAACTGGCACTTTTTTACTAAACACAAAGCAAAAAATTAATACATTTGAGTACATGAACAAGTTTGTGTTTTACCTATTGAATCAAAATATTTTTACCACAAGAGAAGGAAGCTAAAACTACCTTATGTTAGGCATATGCATACTTGAAAACTTATGATAGAATAGATATTTGAAATCATTTTAGTCAATAGCAAAGCAAAAGGAAGGATCAAGAAAAAGTTCTTTGTTTTGTTTTTAACTCAATTTTTCTTATAAATACCTAATTGTTCTCCATAAAAAGTTCATAAATAACCTGATGGATGATCTGAAAATTTCCAGGCAGGTAGCAGGAACTCTCTAGAAGTAAATGTCCCAGAAACTTTGCAAATCAAATCACTCAATTCTTAATAGATGGCTTAAAACTGGGTATTACATTGCAAAGTTTTATGAAAATCATCTGGCAAACAACTGTCTTTTCTTCAAGATGTAAACAATGAAACAATTAGGTTTAAACTGTCTAAAACTATGTGCTCAAGTGTCCCCTTTTACATCAGAGTCTAAGTGGGACAATGATGGAGCAGTTAGAATTTTCTCAGGTAGTCAGATGGGGAAACAGGAAAAGGATGGGAGGAGGAGTAATCATTCAAGGAAATTTTTTTAAATGACAGTATCAATATTGAATATTTCTGGAGTATCAATCATTATAGTATGCCCTTGACATATAGAATCTTCTCCAGTCCATATACACTGTGAAGTAGGTATTACCTATCCAATTTTATAGATAGGTAACAGGATGGTGAGTTGCTGCTCAGGGTATTAAGTAAGTGACCAAGATCCAGTGCTTAGCTAAGTCTTGTCTTCAACAGTGTGGAGCTGGGGCTGGGTTGGGACCTCTGTGGTCCAAAGCCCCAGCCACTTGACTTCATACTGCAGCTTCTGGTTGGTATCTATGGCATCTATGAGTCTGACAGCTATATTTTCACTCATTTTCAGTCAAATATTTATCAGGCATCTACTTGAGCCAGACACCATCCTAGGCAGCAGGGCCCAATAGGAAACAAGACAGAAAACAAAAGTAAAAAAAAAACTTGTCTTCATGCCTTTGGGGTCTTCTTTGTAGTTGAGAGAGAAAGACAATTGTATTAGTCCATTTTCATACTGCTATAAATAAATGCCTGACACTGGGTAATTTATAAAGAAAAGAGGTTTAATTGACTCACAGTTCCACATGGTTGGGGAGGCCTCAGGAAAATTACAGTCATGGCGGAAGGGGAAGAGGCACATCTTACATGGTGGCAGGCTAGAGAGAGCAGGTAAGGGCAGGGAAAACTGCCTTATAAAACCATCAGATCTTGTGAGAACTCACTCCCTATCAGGAAAATGGCATGGGGGAACCACTCCCATGATCCAATCCCCTCCCAACTGGTATCTCCCTCAACACATGGGGATTATAAGGATTACAATTCAAGATCAGATTTAGGTGGGAACACAGAGCCGAACCATATCAACAATAAAACAAAATAAACTAGTAAAGTATTTAGCATGTTAGCTGGTGATAGGTGCTGTAGAGAAAACAAAGCCCGGAAGGAGCGTGGGGAGAGTACCAGGGTGGGTGGTGGAGGAGGTTCCAACTTGAATGGTGTGGGCCTCATGGAAATCTTGTAAAAACCCCAAGAAGATGAGAGAGCAAGCCCTACTGTACAAGTTCCTGGAAGTAAAGCACATAGGGCTGAGGGAAATGAAGGGCAGAGCAACCCTAAAAGGCTAGAAGAAAAGTAGAGAGCCTGGAGTGGAATGACCAAGAAAAAAGCAGGAGGAAGGGAGGTCAGAGAACCACAAGCGCGGTGGCAGATGATGCAGGGCCTTGTAAGCCACCATCATAGTTGCCATCTCTTCTCCAAGGCAAGTGAGCAGGTTGTGAACCAAGGAGGGATCTCTCCCCAACTTACGCTGTAACAGAATCATTTGACTTCGGTACTGAGAATCAACCAAAAGATGTGAAGAAAGACCCCTTATGAGCCTGCCACAATAATCCAAGTGACAGGTGACAGTAGCTTGGGCCCAAGCCATAGTGGTGGAGGTGATGAGGCATGGTTGGATGCTGGATGTAAGACTAGACACTGCCATGGCTATGCAGTTTGTTCTGCCACTCAGTTGTTTGGCATGACACAAACTCACAGGAGGAATTTTATATAAAAGATCGATACAGGTGAGATAAGATCTCCAATTCTTAAACAGCAGAGAAAATCAAATGTTAATTGGCAAATAAAATGCCAAGAAGATGTGCTTGAAATAATTAAAATAGGCAAAGGATTGATCACCTAAAAATAGAAGCAGAAAACAAACCCCCCCTGACAGTTTTCATCTCTCACAGTTAAATATTAAGCTTTCCTCTTAAGAGTAACTTGGCCAGGTGTGATGGCTCACACCTGTAATCCCAGCACTTTGGGAGGCCGAGGTGGGTAGATCACCTGAGGTCAGGAGTTCGAGACCAGCCTGACCAATATGGTGAAACCCCATCTCTACTAAAGATACAAAAAATATTTTTTTTTGTATTACAGGGTGTGGCCTGTAATCCCAGATACTCAGGAGGCTGAGACAGGAGAATCACTTGAAACCAGGAGGCGGAGACTGCAGTGAGTCGAGATCATGCCACTGCACTCCAGTCTGGGCAACAGAGCAAGACTCTGTCTGAAAAAAAAAGAAGAAGAAGAACTTTGTATTTCCTACTTTGCTCTACACATCTACACATAGAAGGTATTTTAAATATTTATGGTTTGTTGATTTTAAAAGAGGCTTTGTTAAAACGAAAGTATTAAACGGGTAAAAAATAGAACCAAGTCTGTGTGACAATACACTAGATTTCAAATTCTCTTTTGCAAGTATTTATTGAACACTTTCTACAGACAAGGTACAATGCCAGATATTAGGGATCTGAAGAGAAAAATCAGTAAACAAAGTTATTTAGTGCAAGGACAACATAAACAATAATGAAAAAAGAAAGAGATAAACTCCAGCTGAAAACATAAAGACCACATAGGACCTGTTTGTTAAATATAAGATTCACAGAATACAGTGCAAGGCCAGGGAATAAATGAAAAACCTACAACTTTGATGACTTATTGTAGGACCAGGCATATTACTTAACATCCCCGATCCTCTATTTCTTCAATTACAAATGAAATATAAAAGTATCTCTTAAAACATGTCAGCAGGGTCAAATTATATAACTTAGAAGATAATAGGGATTCAATATAGCTTAGCATTCTTCCCTAATTTTTTTTAATCTAACCTGCAATTACAATATAGGCGACAACATTTTCAGAGCTGAAATGCGCTTCCGTCAGCTACACAGTCTTCATGATGATGTCCCATCCACAGGGGTTATATGTGGGCCCGTCCTAGTTTGGTGTTCTCTTTGTGTGCCAAAGAAATGATTATCCCCCAAAAGCAGCAGCCATCATTTGAGACCTCTCTAGTTCGTTGATTTCAAACTCTGTTACTACTGGGATTTAAACTAAAGCTTTAAGATTGAAAAGAATAATAAATACAGCAGGCTCTCAAAAGGGAAACACTTATCTTGTGAAAAAACAAGGTTGTTTTTTTTTTTCTTAATTCTCAATGTTCATTCTGGAAGATTCAAGGTTATCTACTACCTGTTTTTCTTCCTCTCCAATGCTCAACTCGAAAGTTGTTCAAAAGGTTCACTGGCATACATAAGCCTGGACCCTATACATGCTTCCTACGTGAAATATGTTCTTACTTAGGAAAAATGCCAAGCTCCAGTAACTGTGACCTACATAAATTCTAAGGTGCAACGTAAGGAGGGCAAGCAAGGCATTACTGAATTGTATATGTCACGCCATACAAGCTGATGTGCAGCTCCCTCAAAGTCTCAAAGGCCTCAATAATTGTAAATAAACAATGTCCTTGAGTCCAAAAAGACTATGACATCCCACAATCAAAGTATTAACTTGGAAAGCATTGCCTACTTTGTATTTTCTAGAAATGTTTCATGTGTTCATCAACAGCATGCCAGTCCCAATGTAAGACACAAACACAGAGACATTCAGTCCATATGACATAAGGTTGAAATCATCCTAATTGTCGACATGAGAAAATGAGAAAGCAATTTGTGGCATCTAAATACATGCATAATTTTTATCCCGTCTGGTTTTTGCTCTGGTTCTGTGCAACCTGAAATAAGGAGAGTGTGCAACTGCTTGGTGACAGATTGCACAGGGATGGAGGACTGTAAATGGATGAATAGTTGGAACATGGTTGAACTCAGGAATGAATGAACCAGACTCTCCTGATGAAATGGCTCCACTCTGGAGATGGAGCCCAGGAGAGATGCTGAATTCACTTTTTCACACCCCAG
This sequence comes from Homo sapiens, assembly GCF_000001405.40. Taxonomy (NCBI): domain Eukaryota; kingdom Metazoa; phylum Chordata; class Mammalia; order Primates; family Hominidae; genus Homo; species Homo sapiens. The sequence goes on from NC_000003.12 coordinate 61,129,557, forward strand.
GGATCAATTTGGTTAATAACCTCTCTGCTGCCTTAAAATCACTTGGGAACACCTGAACAAAATACAAATTCAAAGCAAGATCTTCGAAGCTTAGAGAAACTGAATTGAATCAGGAGGTGAAAATCTTGAACATTGACTATTTCAGCTACTATACACCTATGTCCATCCAATTTCATCAAGATGCTGAAAAAGTACTTAGGGTAATAAGTATGAAAAATGTTACACTTCTTGGAAAACCAGTGCTTAAATGTTCAGTAAATGATACCTTGTTTCTGAATTTCCCTAGCAGCACTGAATTCTTAATCATTCACTTATCCATTTAATCATTCAAAAGAAATTTATATCTTCACTTTTTCTCCTGATTGCATGGTAATACCTGCTTACTGTAAAATATTCAAATGAGATAGTATCACATCAAGGAGAAAGTATAAGTCTCTAGAAATTCCAGAAAATGTGTATTTGTTAACCACTACATTCTAGGCTGTGTGCTAGAGGTGCCACAGAGTTGGCAAAGTAAATCTGAAAACATTCCTGTCCTCAAAAAGACCAGAGTCTAGTAAGAGAGATGATAACAATAAAAGTACTAAAATATAGTACAAGAAGTAATGCAAGTCATAAAAAAGGTCTGAATAAATGCTATAGGAGGTCCAAGAAAAAGAAACGTCTGCTACCTAAGAATGTCCAGGGAAAACTTCCTTTGCAAAAAGAACCTGTTTCTGCCATTTCCTTGACCATACAACTCCACGTGTTGTGTTACTTATGAGTCCTCTGCTCAGTGCCGAAAAGATTTCCCTATACTAAGATCTCAGTGCTTCGTTTAACTTGTACAAAATTCCCAAATCCACATTCTTACAATTTCCCCAAAGATTCAGCAATTCTGAATTCCGGTACACCTCCTAACAGGGTAAACATAAAGAAATCATTTGATCATTAGTTACTTACCATTATCATTGTTCACAGAAATTGGGGAAATGGAAAACTATAAGACTGGAAAAAGATAAATGTTCCCCCAGGCCCTCTCAAAAAAATAAAAATTTTGGACAAAATAAAGAAGCTCTAGGTTAGGAAGAAGGATAAGAGGCACACGAACACAGGAGCATGCCACACACATTTAACACTCAATACACAAGAGCTAAAGAGAAGGCTGTGTAGGGTCAAAGTGAGTTTGAAATACATAAAAGCTGAGGCTATATAAAAATCTGCATTTACGATAACTCTTCTAGGCAGGGAGGTTGTTGAGTACAGACGAAAAGAACCAGGAGACCAGTGGTGACAGAGGATTCTGTCTTTGAGAAGCTGGGAGAACTGGAATAAGACACTTAACCCTTTGGGTTTCATGATTCTCATTATTAAAATAAAATAATGATCCTAGGCCTGTATGAAATTCAAATGAGATAATATATTTGAAAGCATTTTACAAAACAGTTCATAATGTATTTTATAAAACACATAGGGTTAAAGTAGTTGGCCAAAGTTCTAATGAAAGATTAGTTGACTCAGGACATAAATCTGAATTTTCCAAATGACCAATCCCAAATTGTTACCTCTACTATCCCTTAGAAGTAAAAAAGGATTTAAACAACTCAACAGGTAAAAATAATACTTCCTCCACAATAAATACCATATCATATTCCCCTTTGTTCCTCCAGCATCTACACAGTGCTTTGCACAGAGTGAGTACTCAGTACTCTAGAAGCAAAACTCATCTTTCTCCTACTCTACCTTCCTATCTCTTAGCAACTACTAATTTTCTGCTGCATTTTTAGTGGACATCAGCATCAGTAAGTTGCCATCCCAAGGAACAAAGTCAAATTGGCAAAAAGGTGGATGGGCTAGCATCCATCTTTGGTTGTTATCAAAATATTCTCCTTCCTCAGCACACTCAAGTGAAGGCCATAAGTGGACTGTCTGGGCCGAAAGTCTCCCCATACTTCCACCACTCTTGTATCATTAAACATTCTTCGCAGCCTTGGTCAGGAGAGGACTGCGTGGATGGGCACTGGACATGCAAAGTGGCCCAGGTACATAGCAGTCTTGTCAAGCTTGGAGAGTAGTGGCCCACTCTTGGCCCCAGGCCACTGCCATTTGCCTGTCATTTGTAAGAGCACAGACCAGAACATGAGCCCAGTCTGCTGTGCACCTCACAGCAACATCCTGACAATTCTGAAACTCAAAAAAGGTTTCGTTGTTTATTGGGTATAAGCCAGGCAGGACTGAAAAGGAATTCTTTAAAGGTTAGTGGTGCAATACTGGATAAGAGCTTTACACATCCCAGTCTTCCTTCCTTGGTGTCAGAACGGGATTAACAGGAAGACTGGCCAACAGATGCCCAGGGTACCAATCTAAGAGGGTACTAAAATAGCCCCAGAAAACTAACACAATGAAGAAAACAGCATTTATCAGAACTTTCTTCAAGAAGGGAACTGGGTTTCATTGTAAGAAATACTTCGATAAAACAATTGAGGTAGAATAGGGATGATATGCTTTGAAAAAACTAAAAACAAGGCCAATATAATGCTTTCATGTAGGGTGGTTCCAACAATCAAAGGGCTTTCATTTTGCTAAGCTGAGTATGGAGGCCAGGACACTGTAATCTGTTGTCATCTTCCTCCACAAGCAGCACTACTCAAATCTGTTACTTCACTTGATTGCTGAAGGAATACTGAATTAGTCTGCATGGGCCACCCACATGTCTTAGTTGAGCCCTACATGAGATCACCAGTTCTCAGAAAAGGTCTGGCTGTTCTGTTTCAGTTCCCCAGTTTCCATTTCTTGTCTCCCTTACCTTATTCATCCATAGACAATTCAATTACAAATATTTACTGAACACCTGCTGTATTTCAAGCCCTGGGAAGGAAGAGATGAGCACAACATAATCTTGGTGCCAGATAAACACATGTCCTAGACAGACAACTAAGTTAATATAAGGCAAATGGATGGGAGCTCTATGAGAGAAACATACAAATGCAAACATGGGGATGCCGATAAGGAGTGAGGGAATGCCTTATGGAAAATGTGACATTTACATAGGGCCTCTTAGGATTAGGAGGAGCTGACAAGTGCAAAAGAAGGATAGAGAAACCCAAGGGTGTTGAATGAAGGGCACAGTGACTTGAGCAAACTGTAAAGAGTCCACAGTGACCACAGCACAGGCAACATGGTTAAGAGTGCAGAAGATGAGGCTACTGATAAATGTCAGAGCCAAAATTTGAAAAGTCTTTGAAGCCATTCCAGAACGTTAAGATCTTACTCTGGAAGCACAAGGGAGCTATCGATGGTTTTAAGCCAGAAGTAAAAGAAAAAAAAATGTGGTAGATTTGTGTTCAGTGAAAGAACTCTGGCAGAAATTGAAAACTAATGGATAGAAATGGGGTGTAGGGAGTAGAAGCAGAAATTGCAGTGGCCCAGGATGAGAACAGAATATAGAAAACAGGCATTTCACAGGCAAAAATCAATGGTAGTTGGCGACTATAGTGCATAGTGATGAAGAGGAAAGAGTTCCTGTCTCCTAATTCATTCATATTCATCCTTTACATCTCAGATCAAATGCCACTTTCTAAAGGAAGACGTCTCAAACCCCAAGAATAAATTAGGTCCTTCTGGACATGCTCACAAAGCACATTGGACTTTTCCTCCACAGCATTGACCTCAGTTTATAATGCTATATTTCTGTAATAAATAAAATTAATCTCTGTATCTGCTACCAGATTGTGAACCTCTTGAGGGTACAACCATGTCTGTTTTGTGGTTCCTGTATTCCTAGTATCTAGCTTTTAGTAGGAACTCAAAAACTATATTTTGGAAGCAATAAGGGAAGGCACTTAAGGATCACATAAAGACTTCTATACTGCAATGCCAGGTAGCTGGTGATCCCATTAACTAAGACAGAACATAGAAAAAGAGGAAAAGGGGAAAATAGGGAGAAGAAAATGAATTCCAGAATAAACAAGGTAAATTGGAAAAATCTTCAAGAATTCCAGATGGAGATTTCAAATAGCTTGAAACTCAGCAGTCAATCCAGAGATTATAGATTTAGGAATCATCTATGTAGTGGAAGAGAGGAGAGTCACTGCTTTACTCGGGTTAAGTATATGACTCCAGAAGAAAAGAGGCTCAAAGATGGAGCCCTGAAGAAAGCCAGAGGTAGAATCCAAGCAAACTAAATAATACAGCAAAAATACTGGGAAAGAAAGTCTGAGAGCCAGGAGAACAACCATGAGAGGGTTGTATTTTAAGAGGTCAAGGAGCCAGGCACAGTGGCTCATGCCTGTAATAATGCCAGCACTTTGGGAGGCCGAGATAGGTGGATTAACTGAGGTCAGGAGTTCAAGACCAGCCTAGCTAACACGGTGAAACCCCATCTCTACTAAAAGTACAAAAATTTAGCCAGGCGTGGTGGCAGGCACCTGTAATCCCAGCTACTCAGGAGGCTGAGGCAGGAGAATTGCTTTGAACTCGGGAGGCGGAGGTTGCAGTGAGCTGAGATCGCGCCACTGCACTCCAGCCTGGGCGACAGAGTGAGACTCTGTCTCACACACACACATACACACACACACACACACACACACACACACAAAGAGGTCAAGGGAGGTAGAGCTCAAGAAAGAGAAAGTGCTTAGTGGGGCCCAATATTACCAAGGGTAGGGGGTTGGCTCATAAGCCTCAGAAAGTGGTGGGCACTGGGATTCAGGCAGTGTCTATTTCTAAAGCAAGAGATCCCAAACTCCCAAAGAAAAGCTGAAAACAGTGATGAAAACAGCAGGTGTGCACAGAAGGAAACTAAAAAACATGCAAGAAAATAATTATTCATTCAATAAGTATTTGTTGAGCTTCTACTATGGTCCAAGCATTCTATATTGGAAGTATAGCAGTAAACAGGATATAATGGTCTGTGGGCCCACAGGATTTAAGAGCAGATAGGATCAAGATCAAAGAAAAAGAGTCTGACTTCAAAAAGCTATGAGACATCTCTTCAAAGGAAGGAGAAATGATCTGGGGCTAAAGATTATATGGGCAGAGTCCTAGAAGTATCAAGAAGACAGAAAATTTTAGGGTTGTCATGAGTTGGGTTGCCCTGAAGGCAAAACCTGAGACAAGGACTTAGGTGCAGGAGTTTATGTGAGAGATGACTCCAGGAAGCAGAGATGAGGAAATAGGGTGTAAAAAGGGAAGAGCAAAAGCCAACTAAGGGTACATTATCAAGTTTACCACTTGCCAAACCAGCAAGAGGCTGGTTTGGCCAGAACCTCCAGAGAAGTACACAGCTTGCCTCCAGAACTGTTCACCTGAATCGCAAAGGCCGGAGCACTTATTCACATGTTCAAATGCCCAGTGGCTGAGAGTAGCCTCTGAGGGCATTTATTCCCACAGACGTCCAGGCTCCTCTTCAGCCCAGGCCATGCAGACTCCCAGCATAAGAGATGCCCTTGGGGAAGAAAGCAGAAAAGCAGAAAAGTAGGGGCTAGAGGTGGGAAGCTGACTTGGACAAAACTGGTCACCACAGTTGTTGCTGAAATCAGAGATAATTTCACAGAGGGACTGTGAAAATGGCCACAGGGGCATCTGCCACAAAGGTAGTGTTGGTGAGAACTAGGTGGAAATGGCTAATCATTCAGCCCAGGCTAGTTAAGGAGAAAAAAAAAGAATGCTAAGAGAAAGTGGCTTGGGAAGTTTTCTAAGGTCTAAGCTTTCTTTCAATGATTTTTGGCCTCTGCATAAAAATATGAACTTAGGGACTTACTAATAGCTCAAAGTTAAGATCATAGAGAAGGCGTTGTACTCCTCTAGGTCAAGGGCATATTAACCACTGATATTTATTGAGCACTTACTATGTGCCAGGCACTTTATAGTCATCATCAAATAAATCATCCCTGCAACTGTATATACTCATTAGTATTGTTGTTCCCATTTTATAAAGGAAGGAACTGAGGCTTAGAGAGTTTTTAAAGCTTTTAAGATCTATGAGGTAACAACCTATTTCATTTTAAGTGTATGTCAATAACCCACACTTGCATCCTTGTGTTCGAACACACACACACACACATACACACACACACACATACACACAGTAAAATCAGATATGAGGAATTTCTGGTTTTACTAGAGAATTTAGTTTATTTATCTTCCCTGTCTATTTCTTCATTACATGGATAATGAAGCACTTCTAGACTCTTTAATGAATACATTTATTTAAATTTTAAAAAATTTATACCAATTGATCAATGTGTTTTCATCAAATACGTGGACTAGAAATACAGAAAATAAAGATGTTTAGATATAGAAAACTGAGCAAAAACCAGCTACAAAATACCACCAAAAGCACAGAGCTAGTTGAAGTCAAAAAAAGCATCATAAAGGGAAAAACTAAAAGCATCTAAATACAGAACAAAAGGCAAATCTGATTGAAAACTTGTCTGCATCTTTAATTTGGAGGCTCATGATCATGCTGGAGGTAGGAGGCAAAATTTAATTTAAGGAGAATTTTGGCCAACCATCGCTATTTTCTTTAACACAAGAACAAGGAGGGAGAGGGAATGAGGTAGACAACATCCACGGAGGACCAGGTGAAGGAAAAGCAGAGAGTGATCATATCCCATATCCCCAGACACTTGGATTAGCCTCAGGGAGGCTGGTTAGGCAATGCCACCACCACCACCGTCACCACGCCCCCACCCCCCTCACCCGACCCACCCGCCACTCCCAGAATAAAGCTGGTTTGTAATTAGTTTAGGCTGTAGAGGCTTGTATCATTAAAATAATGACCACTGGGCATTTGCCACAACCAAGATAATGTTTCATAATCAAATTAACTTGGCTCAAAAACTTGATTTGGAACCTGTTTATGGTTAGTCATCAAACAGCTTTCGGGGTGCTTGAAGCATAAGATATGCAAAAAACTAGGTAAGTAGTGCATGAACACAGAATCAGAGGAAAATGTGGCTATGTTTTAGTCACAGAGTACTTACAATGGGGGTTGGAGGTAGGAGGACAGTGACTATACAAGAAAAGGATTTGAAATTGACCCTCAAAGAACTGAATATCTTTTTAAATAAAATGACAATATTAAAACCACATGCTTAAAATACGTACGGCTAAGTGCTTCAGCAGAGACTGGGATACCAGATCCTGAGTTCCTCAAAGGCAGGAGTGTCCAAGTCATTCACTTTTGCTTCACCGGAGCCTAACACATTGCCTGGAGCAGTGTTGGTACTCAGGAAAACCTTCTGTCGAATGAAGGACTATCATGCTGTTATAATAATTAGGAGAGGACAACATAGAAACATGGAAAACCTTTTTAATCTACTGGAAAGTGAAAATGATATGTCAATGGATTGCAACCATGTGCAAAAACAGGTGTGTTTGAGGACAACTAGAAGATAAGGTGGCAAAAATGAAAACACTGGTGTCAGGTGTTAGGATTCTGCATGTATTGTTGTTGTTTCTAAAACTGCATTTAATGTTGTCAGAATATAATCTTTGTAATTTCAGAATCTAGAGATGCTTCCATGTTGGAGGGAGGGAAGGAACTGGATACTCAATGAACTGATAGCTTACAGGCAAAGGTTCAAACTCCATTGCTTAGCACTGCAGACTCTTTGTGGCACAGTCCCCAAGAACTCCAGTTTTATATCATATCCCTGCTCCTTCCTTCTTCCCCATCACACTGAATAGTTTGCCTTTTCTAAAACGTATCATAGGTTTCACTCTTTTTTTTTTTTTTTTTTTTTTTGGTACACACTCTTCTCACTATTTGTAATGCCCTTGTTTCCGTCCCTTCTTCATATGGCTAAATCCTACCCATTCTTCAAAACACAACTCAAATATTTCCCCTCTGAGAAGCTGACCTGATTCCCCACACCCTATCCCAGTCTCAATTTTTGGCCACGTCTCTAAGTTTCTATAGCAACTTATGCGCTTACCTCTTTCAGAGCCCTGTCTCACTATGCTGCAATCACTGGTGTACTTGCCTTTCTCCTCTACTAGCCTGGATGCTACCTACAGATAATGTAAAGATACCTGGGGCTACAAAGGCCAGTGGATGACCCACTGTCTTTTTTACCAAACTGTGACAGTGTGGTCACTTAGTCAAGACTCTTTTGGTTGCAAGTAACAGACATCCATTGAAACTGCTTTGAGCACAAAAGGGAAATTTATTTATAAGGACATAGAGATACTTCTCAGAGCCCAAGGTTAGAAAGTGCAGACACTGAGGTCTGGATCCTGGAGCTAGAAAGCCTACAGAATCAAGGCAGCTACTCTCTTAGTCAATCAGTCTTACTCTCTCCCCATACCCACCTCTCTCCCTGCAGCCTCACACAGTCTTTTAATCTGCATATCTCCAGAGGCCTGTTGTATTCCTCTCTCTTTCTTTCTCCCTCTCTCTTGCTCCGAAAGACAGTTATACAGTGGCTACAAGTATGAGCTCATACTACCTGTGTTCATGCCTGGCTCTGCCATTAACCAACTATATGACCTTGGATAAATTACTTAACCGCTCTGTGACTCAGTTTCCTCTTCTACAAAATGGGAATAAGAAGAGGTCCCACCTCATAGGAGTATTACAAGGATTATTGAATTAATCTAAGACATGGCTTCCCACTGCTCCCAAGTTTACACATCTACCTAGTCTATCTACAAATATGTCTTAGTCCAAGACCACACTTCTGAGAAAGACAACCTGGCTGGTCCAGCTTGAGTCAGCTGTGGATCTTTGATCTACTGAGCCACAGCCTGGGAGCCAAGTTAAAAACCTGATCACCAGGGCCCATCCTTGAAGATAAAGTGACAGTTCTTAGAGAAAGGGGCCATGGGCTGAGCAGACACCAGAAACAAAAACCTGCTACAGCCACTAACTAACCATGCAGCCATGCTTGTGGGCCTGCCTAGGATTACAGCTGGGCCTTTTCACCTCATGGCCCTGAGCAAGGCTCGTATTTAAAACACACAGCTGCCTGTCAGACTGCAATGACACCTAAGGGAGCTCCACACACTGGCACTTAATAAAGGCTTAATGGTGATGATGGTGGCGCTGACAAAAATGACGGTGGCACAACAGGCCATGCTATTGCTTCCCAGCAGTTCTCTGCTGGGCCCCGTGGCTTGAAGTTGAAATCAGCACATCCTTCTAACTCGGCTAATGTGGCTTGGCTCTGGGGCCAACCCTCATCAGATCCCATCCAACTGCTAGTTAGGTAGATTTATACCCCACTAAATCCATTGTCACACAAGGGCTTCCTCCTCACTGCCAGAGTGTAAAGAACATAGACACAGCATCCAATAACCAAAGGAGGAAAGGCCTCCAAAGAAAATTAACCATTTGACTTCAAAATGTTATGCTGCTGCTCTAGAATTTCCAACCAAATGAAATCAGCTGAAGGTCCTGCATCTTTAAATAATAAAAAAATAAAGAAGAACCACAGCTGTGGGCCCTTACTAGCCCATAAATAAAGCCCCGTATGCAACTCTATATCAAACTTTTTTTTTTTTTTTTTGAGACAGAGTCTCACTCTGTCACCAAGGCTGGAGTGCAGTGGTGCGATCTCGGCTCACTGCAACCTCCGCCTCCTGGGTTCACGCCATTCTCCTGCCTCAGCCTCCTGAGTAGCTGGGACTATAGGCATGTGCCACCATGCCTGGCTAATTTTTTGTATTTTTAGTAGAGACGGGATTTCACTGTGTTAGCCAGGATGGTCTCCATCTCCTGACCTCGTGATCTGCCCGCCTCGGCCTCCTAAAGATCAAACTTATTTTTTATTGCAGTATAATCTCTTTAACAAAAAACAAGAATTGTAGACCAGTACATCTTTGCTATGAACTGAATGTCTGTGTCCCCTCAAAATTCATATGCAGAAATCCTAACCCCCAATGTGATGGAATTAGGAAGTGGGACCTTGTTTTTAGAGATGGGACATCAATTCCAGGACCAGTATCAAGATCTCACATCATTCTCTTTCACAAAAATAGTCTGCCTTTGAATTTTTAGCTCTCGGTGATAAGTAAACTACACTTATTGTAGTTTTTTGCTTGCCTCAAATCCTTTGTAGAAGTAGGCTGGAAAATAAATAAATAAATAGAATTTCCTCTATGAATTTGAATAGCAGAGTATGCATGTAATAGACGCTTCAATAAATTTTGCTGTAGCATGAAGACCAATCTCATTTTCAAATGGTGAATCTTGGCTCATGTATATGTGGTACTATAATCTTACAAGTAGGGTTTGCGGTACACATCACTTTAAGGAATGCTGGTACTTTAAGTGAATTTGAATAGCAAGAGCGGTCTAAAATCAGTCACCATCACTGAGCACAGTCATTTGAAAGCCTGAAATTCACTTTTAGAAAATTCATCAGAAAAAAAGATTCAAAAACTGGCAACGTTCACTCACAGATCAAAGACAACCTAAGTATTTAACTCATCATCATCTATGAGGATAACGACTTTTAACAGCTGTCCATGCAAGAGAAAGCAAAAAAAAAAAAAAAATAAGAAACAATGAGAGGCATTAAAGCATAAAGGTCAAGAGCACTTTGGGGGCAGCCAGCCCTAGGTCAAGAAGTCCTGACTGTGTCATTTACCAGCTCTGTAGCTTTGGGCAAGTTGCCTAAACACTCTGAACTTATTCAGTCTTCCATAAAACATTTAAATAATAGTGATACCTATCTTATTGGATTTCTATACTTAATAAACAATGAATATGATGATGACGATGATGTCTGCTTTTACTATGAGGAAAATGCATTCAGTAACAAATATAAGGAAAAAAATATAGAATAAGTAAGGAGACTCTTTAGCTATCCTTATCCACTAAGAATACCTAAGAGTTTGTAGTAACTGGCAAGGGTGTATATATAACCAGCACTGAACATATCATCCTTTTTGCTATTAGAGAGTATGCAAAAGAGGAAATATAAAGAACGGCTTTGCTTTGATCATAATCAAAGGGCGTGGGTAATCTCCTTGAGGGCAGGAACTATCTGGGTCCTATTAACCTAGCACAGACAGTATCAAGTAGCAAGCATACAGTCAAAGCACCAAATGAATGCAAGAATGCCTGGATACACCCTGAATATGACTACAATCAAAGCCCGAAGCTCTTGGTAGGTTTCACTGGCCTCTTTCCTTATATCTAGAAGAACGTCCTACCTTCCTGGTCATAGCCACCACTGAAATAATGAAAACAAAATAACAAAATAATATTTTAAACATACATAGCATACCAGTTCATTAAAAATAGACTAGGGAGTATTTTACATTGAGACACTAGGGAGCATCATTACTTTGAAATGTCACTTTCTGCTTTAATTAGTATGCTCTAATGATAAGTATATGCCATTCTTATCTAATGAAAGTCTTGAATACATACGGAATCTGGTTCACAGTCCTCGCTGGGAGGTACACGGATGTACAAAGAAGAAACAGAATGCATGTGTTGATGTCAACTAGTTTGCTTACCTTTATTAACATAATTGCCAAAGTTTCAAGTTTTACAATTTGAGGATACATATGTTCAACACACCCAGAACACTTGGCACAGTCATCTGATCACCTTTCACATTTCTCAAGACAGCCTAAGCTGTTTTAGGGAGATGTGAAGTTTCCGGTGATTTCTTTCAAGCCGACTCTCGGGGGTATCACTCAGAACAGGACCACCTGCTTGGTGGCATCTTTTTAATAAAGACAGCAATAGGTCTGCTTGCTCACAGGGAAATTTATAAGGCTGTCTTTGCTTCCTTCCACCTATTGTGGTGCTTTATCCAAGTAGAATGTACTCAGTCTTCGGAGCTTCAAAGACACTGATAATGGACTTCTTTTCAAAGAGAAGTCTTAGTCATCCGCTCCTTTCATTCAACAGTCAGAATAAGAAAGGCCCAGAGGGATACAGACAAATACCTCTGAGCTGCCTGTTGTGGCAATATCAGATAAAGAAATTCTGTAGCCCAGAGAGATATTTGATCCGTTCATTTGAAAGTCAATACTAAACATCCTTCCCAGCCACTCCACCCAAGCAATGAGAATGTGTCTCAGAAACAGGACACAGAAACTATCTCTTACGATGTAGCTTCCACTTCTTTTTTCTAGCCTGAGTGGGTTGGGTTGAGGAAGGAGAGAAAGAAAGAAATCAAGAACCAATGTTCTCTGCTTTGTGTTTCCCTGATTCAGTGAAAAACGGAGGTCATTTATAGCTTCTTCAATTGGCTGACCCAGAGGAGGCTCCAGCTTTCTCAGGATTGTAATGGCAATGACATTTCTCAAAATCAGTTACCAAGTTCGTACCAGTTCCCAGCAATAGAATACTTGGTTACTCAGGGCTTCTTTCTTTGGGAAATCTGCATCACCGGGATGACTGCAGTTCACCCAGGCCCTACAATGGGTTCTCATTTACTACTCAAGTTTCATGCAGATCATCTCATTCACACAAGCCTACAGGACCAATCTGCCTCCCAGAGCCATGGCTCTGCACCTTCACAATTGCAAAGCAATTTCTCAGGGGGAGTCAAAGCTTCACTTGCTTTTTACAGAAATGGCTCATGGAGATATTATCTTAAAATGCTTTCTCTTAAAAAAAATTTTTTTTTTATCTGAGAATTGCATGCTGTGCTGAAATAGGATGGTGGTGGGTTCTGATTATATCTTTTTTCCAATTTTGGTTTCACTCTTAAGTATAGAAAATATCAGGTTGCTCTCTCCTCTGATTCCCTTTTCTCCCAGGGACTAAAACTTTAGTCTGCTGAGTCAAAAGTAAGCTTTGGTATTAAATTCCATCTTTTATCTTTTTTCTCCCAATATCTAAGAACAATGTGATTATGCATCATTTTGTACTACAGAAGTGCTGCTGAGAACTGCATGCAAAATAAATCAAGTCAATGATGTATTTGAATGTGACTCTAATCACTGAGGTGGGAAAAAGATACCAGGGTTCTACTTTAGACTGCTAACCTGCTGTGATCACCTTACCTCCTCTTTTAAATGAGTGGGCTGGAAGTGCTCCAGCTCATGTCTAAAATTTAGTGTGCTTCGCTACCTCATGGCATAACAATAGGATGGAAAACCATGCAACCATTAAAAGTGATCATTACAAAAATGACATAGAAAAAGAAAAAATAATTGTTATAATATTTAATAAAAAATTATTCCACAAATTATCTGTACATTAACATTTTTCATTAGGACCTCTTAAGCCATGCCATTATCAAAAGGGGCAATTCAAACATATCAAGAGTATCTGTTAATATTTAAAATTAGGCTGTTAGCCTGTAATGAACATATTTTAGGGGAAAAGCTAGAAGTCTGACACATAGAAAGAAAGAAAGGGAAAATATTAACCTACAAAATCCTTTAAAAAGGTAGACTTAAAGCTTTTTTTCACTATCTTAGTGAAGATCGTTAATATGTACCTTACAGTGTATTTTAAAATTGTGTTTCTTTACCAGGGAATTTTTTTTTATCTTTAGTAAATTTCAGATTTGTTTCTTACCTGCATGGAATGTTACCCTTCCCTTACCACAATATGACAAAATTAATAATAGCCTTACAAATTGTGAAGATACAAGTTTGAGGGAAAAGATACCAACTGCTTTTTAAATTACAATAATACATGATATCACCATTTCATTTTATTTAAAAGAAATGTTTTACAACAGAAATCATCCAACCAATTAACAGGGAAAAATAAGATGGTGACATAATCCTTAGGAAGGATTACTGGGAAAGAAAAAAACAGTCATGAGTACAACTTGGTATAAGTTTCTAATGTTTATGTATAGTGTATGTTTATATGTATGTATAATACATTATAATATACATAGCATATAATATTTAGAGTGCATGCATATTATGTGTTTTGTGTTACGTGATTGTTTTTGAGAGATAGTTGCTTACACTATTGGAAAACCACTGGTCATTTGGCATTTCTAAACAGTTATGGTGCTGCAGAGGAAAGCTTTTGACCAGCCTTTGACTAGCCTTGGTCTTGTCGTTATTTAGCATTCAGATGTGTCAAGAAAATTAATACCTAAAAAAAATTTTCTGGCTGGGCACAGTGGCTCACGCCTGTAATCCCAACGCTCTGGGAGGCCGAGGCGGGTGGATCACCTGAGGTCAGGAGTTCAAGACCAGCCTCACCAATAAGGTGAAACCCCATCTCTACTAAAAATACAAAAATTAGCCGGGCATGGTGGCAGGCGCCTGTAGTCCCAACTACTCGGGAGACTGAGACAGGAGAATTGCTTGAACCCAGGAGGCAGAGGTTGCAGTGTGCTGAGATTGTGCCACTACACTCCAGATTGGGTGACAGAGCAAGACTCTGTCTAAAACAAACAAACAAACAAACAAAACTGCAGATCTGTTTTTGGAGTTTTAAAGTGAAAAATTGCATTCTTTTGTCTCTAGTAGTGTAATATTGACAGTCCAGGCAATTATTGTCATGCTAACATAATAAATGAATTACCTTTACTATTCTATTGCCAATGTGCTTTTTTATAGCTTTATTTAGATACATTTACAAACCATAAAATTCACCCATTTAAACTGTACGATTCATTCATTTTTAGTATATTCAGAGTTGTGCAACCAAGAACACAATCAATTTTATAACATTTCCTCATCCCAAAAAGAAAGCCCATGTGCATTAGCAGTCACTCCAATTTCCCCGCTACCCCTGCAGCCCTATTAATCCACTAATCTACTATGCATATGGATTTGTCTCTGTTGGAAATGTCACATAAATGGAATCATACAGTATGTGTCCTTTTGCGACTAGCTTCTTTCACTTAACATAATGTTTTCAAGGTTCATTCACATTGTAGCATGTTTCAGCACTTCATTACTAATTATGGCCAAGTAACATTCCATTATAGGAATATGCCATTTTTGTTTATCCATTCATTGTAGATAGATATTTGAACTGTTTCCACTTTTTGGCAATTATGAATAATGCTACTATGAACATTCATGTACAAGTTTTTGTGTGGATATGTTTTTAATTCTCTTGGGTACATACCTAGGAAGGTATAGAATTGCTGGGTTATATGGTAACTCTATATTTAACATTTTGAAGAACTGTCAAACTTTTTCCCCAAGTGGTTGCACCATCCTACAATCCCACCAAAACATATGAGGGTTTTAATTTCTCCTTATCCTCACCAACGCTTGTTATTGTCTTTTCTATTTTAGCCATTCTAGTGTGCATGAAGTGGTATCTCACTGTGGTTTTGGTTTGATCTAATTTGACTTCCCTAGTAATGAGTGATACTAAGCATCTCTTCGTGTGCTATTAACCATTTGTATATCTTCTTTGGGAAAATGCCTATTCAGATACTTTGCACATTTTTAAATTGTGTTATTTGTTGTTTTACAGTTGAGTTGCAGAAGTTCTTAATATAGTCTAGATACTAGTCCATCAACAGATGCAAAATTTTCTCCCATCTTTGGGTATATCTTTTTACTTTTGTGATGGTGTCATTTGACACACAAAAGTTTTAAGTTTTAACAAAGTCTAAATTATCTATTTTTTAAATTTTGTCACCTGTGCTTTTGGTATTGTATCTAAGAAACCTAACTCAAGATGACAAAGATTAATTCATATGGTTTTGCCAAGGGATTTTATACTGTTACCTTTTAAATTTAGGTCTATGATCCATATTGAGCTAATTGTTGTGTATGGTGTGAGGTACAAGTCCTAATTCATTCTTTGCATGTAGACATCCCCAGTTGTCCTAACAACATTTATTGAAAAGACTAATATTTCTCCTATTGAATTGTCTTGGTTCTTTAGTTAAAAATCAATTGACCATAAATGCGAGGGTTTATGTCTATTCTATTGATCTACCTTTTTTGTTAGTACCACACAGCCTTAATTGCTATAGCTTTGTAGTAAGTTTTGAAACTAGTAAGTGTGAGTCTTCAAACTTCTTTCTTCTTTTTCAAGATTGTTTTGGCTATTCTGGATATTTGCAGTTCCACATGCAATTTAGGATCAGCTTGTCACTTTCTGGGGAAAAAAATAAAAAAACAGCTGGGATTTTTAAAGGGATTCCATTAAATACATAGATCATTTTGGCCAGTATTGCAATCTTAAAAATGTTAAGTTTTCTGATCCAATAACATGGCATATCTTTCCATTTATTTATTCTTTAATATCTTTCAACTACTTTCTAGTTTTCACATCTTATACTTCTGTTAAGTTTATTCTTAGATATTTTATTTTTTGGCTGCTATTATAAATAAGATTATTTTCTTAATCTCTTTTCCAGACTGTTCATTGCTAGTATATAGAAATAAGATTTATTTTTGTATATTGATCTTGTATCTTGCCACATTGCTGAACTCGTTTAGTAGTTCCAATAGTTTTTTAGTGAATTTGCCAGTGCACTTTTAACTTAAACTTTTAAATTATTTTGTCCCCATCATACTTATAAACATCAGTGTATGCTACTACTGTACCACAATTATCCACAATATTGAGCAATTAAATCCTGTCTGCCCTAAGCTCTCATTCAGTCCCTTCAATTAACCCTTCAGGCTGATGATCACTCTCCACAGGAAAGGAGAAAGCACGACATAAAACAAATTACTTCTTTCTTAATCCTTTCTATTTCTAGTGGTTAGTAAAACCATACAGAGTAGTAAAATGAAACATATGCTGAGCTACTGAAACTCTTCTGCCTAGCATTACCTTGCTAAAATGAAATCAAGCAAAATGGAACCAAAAGTGGATTTTGACATTTCATATTTTGCTGAATACTGTTAGGGCTCTGGCAATCACTGTCTCTTACATACAAATTAACAGCCTACCATCTGTCAAGTGTTGGGATAATCACAGGGTTTAGTGCACAATATGGTTATTAGAATATGACCTGACAAAAAGGAAAAGAACACAACCTAATTTGGACTATAAAATCTATGATCTCACTTGCAAACGACAGTTTGACAAGCTATTATTCTGCATTTTGGCTTCTACAGTAAAAGCAGTTTTATGCATACGTAATTCTGTTATACAGGCAACAGCCCATAGAAGATTGCTTTAAACTACAGAATCTGCTTGGTCATACAATATTTTTTAACTAATTCTTAGACAAATATTTGCACCATGAATAAGTAGGAATGTAATGATCTGAGCCTTCACATTTCCAAGTGAAGCACCAATCATTAGGCAAAAAATGTCTTTGTGATATTGCTGCCAGCAGTTCCATAGAATTCCTCAGGGTATATGCAAAGAAACTACTGTAGGAACTTATTAAAACTATTCACATGGACATACATCAAAGTCAAAAAGTTGACAGTTTTGAAAAGTGTAATATATGAAACACTTTGGTGTGGAATTTACTTCATCCCCAACAGTGACATCTGCTAATGAGCATCATTAATATTGCCCACTTTTATTTATCCAAATGCCTCATGGGTGATATCTTTATGTACATTCCTCTGTAGCACCTTTTGTTTCCACCCAGTGGAAATAAATCCCATACTGACAGCTGCCTCTAATAAAGATGCTTCCAACAAAACTCTTCTGGTTACAGAGAGAACACAGAGTACCAAGTTCTTTTTGTTGTTGTTTTCTACCTCTCAAAACAGTGCAGAAATGAGTATTGTTCCTGAAGGTTATTTAAGGGTACACCCAGTGTGTCTAAAATACATGCCTAAGACAGAAATGTATTAATTAAGTCTCAAGGCAAAACGTTCTGTTGAGGCGACAAAACAAAACAGATTTTTAATATTAGCAGTTATATTACCTAGGGAGCTTAGGCGAGATAATAACTATATAATACATTAGGCAACTCACACTGCAAATTATGTTGCTTTGTTTTAGACTACACGTTTTTCCATTATTTTCATACTTGTTTCCTTTGACGGTAGAAAAAAATGATGTATTTTTCTGTCATGTTGGCTCACTATAAGGTGAGTCAGAGTGCCAAGGTTCTTCTGCAAGGAATCTTGGGATCCAATTTTAATATGCTGCAATATGAATTTTAAGAACAGTGTGTGATGAATTGTCAGGCTGCATGATATCCCCAAATTTCCCAGTATTGAGACCTTCATGGCTATTCCCCGAAGATAACAAAAAAAATTCGATCAAGATTTATAGAAGACTTATAAATGTATGAAAATATAAAAAAATAATAGTTACATCCATGGGTTTAAAATGATTCCCCTACAGTGGCAACCCTGTATGAAAATACAATATGAGATCAGGGAGCAGAAAAATAAATGAAGTAAAGATTTAGGGAGAATCATGGCAACTTATTCATTTACAGGAAAGCCAGTTCCTTTTTCACCCTTGGAAAAAACTACAAACAAATTCCAAGTTCTTTCTAGCTACAATTGACATTATCATTTGGCCAGTATATTCATGATAAATGTTCTAATGTGAAGGCGATCCATCATAAATGTAATTTCAAAAATGAACTTCTTATTTTAACTTCAGAAAGAATTATTCTAGGATTCAAAAGTCCAGTTAAATACATATAGAAAGAAGGATAGAAGGGAGAAAAGTTTAAAAAAAAAAACAAAAAACTATGCCCAGACAAAAGACTGGAAGAAAGTTATTTATGTGATGAGACTATCGATGATTTATTTTCTTTTAATTTTTATTAATGTTCGAAACAAACACACATCATCTTTTAATGAAAAAGAAATTCTATATGAATTATTTTCTCTCTATGGTATATTTAGAGGGATAACTTATATATAGTAAAATACACAAATCTTAAGTATATGGCTCCATGGCATTTCATATGTATAAACCCAAGAATCTTCCACCTAAAACAAAGTATGCAGTTATTTCCAGAAAATTACCTCCTGATCCTTTCTAGCAATAGTCTCCTAGCTCCCTATTTTTCTGGCTTCTAGTATCATTGATTCCTTTTGTCAGCTATTGAATTTTACACAAATGGAAGCATACAGTATGCATTCTTTTGTTTGTGGCTTCTTTTGGCAACATAATGCTTTCAAGATGCATCCATATTGTATATATTTGTTGTTTGTTCCTTTTTGTTGGTGAGTACCACCTCATTGTATGACTATGTCACAATTTGTTTACAATGATGTCTAAGGATAGACATTTGGATTTTCTCAAGTGCTTGGCTATTATAAATAAAACTTCCATGAACATTCTTGTATATGTCTTTTTCATGAGCATATGCAATAATTTCTCTTGAATTAATACAAGGGAAAATATACGACATACAGTTTTTAACTTTAAGGCAAGGTCTAATATTTCCTTTTATGGTTATTTTATTTTAACAGTATATTTAAAAATTCATAACTTATTGGTTTCAATCTAAGGAAAATGTAATGAACAAAATTCAGAGCATAAATTTGTAAAATCTCATACTCCTAGATGAAGAGTTCAAAAGAAGAGAAAGAAGTTATATGCCCCAGTGGGGACTGCTTCTTCTGGATCTTCATGCCACAATGGAAAGATTCTCAAAGGCATAAAGTTTTCCATAGAAACACTCTCAATCTGTTAGTTTTAACAATTAAAACTTACGTTTAACTGAAAGTATAGTAGAGAAAGAAAACTAATTGATGAAACTAAAAGTAAACCTCTCAAATAATTAAGAGGCAAATATTTCAGGGCTGAAAGGTCATCACCAGTCACAGAAAACATTCAGAGAAGTGAGAAACCATTGAAATTGGACCAGTGGATGGCAGAGTAATAGATGGTATTTCCATGACATCTACCCCATGCCAGGGGAAAAGAAGAGAAGGGTTTACTTTGGGTACAATGACAAGGACAACCTTCTGATATGTTGCTAAGGATCATGCCTAGGGTGACTATAAATAATTTATTATCCAAAATGAGACACTTCTGAGACTGAAGCAGGGTAATAAAATTAAATAAAAGTAATAAATAAAAATTAATAAGTTTAATAAATAAAAATTGTTTTATTTATATTATTAAAAATAATTTAATTTTTTAAATATCCACCTGTTGACTGAAAAATTGGTTTTATTTTACTGGTTGACAGTTGAAATACAGTCCTATTCTAAAATGATTTCCCAAAGTAAAATTATTTTTATTTTTAAAAAATGCTTAACTGGGCCAGGTGCCATGACTCACACCTGTAATCCCATCATTTTGGGAGGCACAGATGGGAGGATGGCTTGAGCCCAGGAGTTTGAGACCAGCCTCAGCAACATAGTGAGATCCAGTCTCTACAAAAAATACAAAAATATTAGCCATATGTGGTGGTGCGCACCTGTAGCCTCAGCTACTCGGGAGGCTGATGGGGGAGGATTGCTTGAGCCCAGGAGTTAGAGGCTGCAATGGGCCATGATTGTGCCACTGCACTGCAGCCTGAGACCCTATCTCAAAAAAATGTATATATAAAAAAATGCTAAACTGGACAAGATGCAGAGAAAACTGGTAAAAACTAGGGCTATCCTGAGCAAACTCAGATGCATGGGTACACTAGTCAAGTGTCACCTCCAACCCTCTCCAGTTAATTTACCAAGGTACCTATAAATGGAGCCTAAGGCACTGCCCCTGTCCTTTTCTTCATTCAACAAGTAATTGTTGAAAATCTTCCATATGTTTGGCACTGTCCCAGGCAGAGAGATATAATGATAAATGAGTCCAACTTTCCTTGGACTCATGGAACCTTCAAACTGTCAGAGAAGACAGCCAAAGAACAAGTTACTAAAAGTGTGCTAAATGTGAAGGAAGATACAGAGCCCACTGAGAGGCTTTTACATGGTAGTGATCAATGGGGTTTGTATTGTCCCCTAGAGAGATTTTTTTTTGGAAATGTGAGGAGCGGTGGGGAGCTCTCTATGTTCCTTCTTTTTTAAGAGATGGAGTCTCCCTATATTGCCCAGGCTGGTCTGGTCTCCACCTCCTCTTGAGCTCAAGTGATCCTCCCACCTCAGCCTCCCAAAGTGCTAGGATTACAGGTGTGAGCCACCATGCCCAGCCATTTAACTCATATTTTCTGAGGGGCAACAAGGCCACCAAATGTTCTTATGTAGGACAGGCCCACATGATGAAAAATGATCCTGTATCCCTCATAACTTTCAAATGTTCCACCAGACATTCACTTAGGTAAAGAAAAAAAATATTATTGTCTATTTTACATAATAGCTTAAAGTATCTTTTGCACATTTTAATTTTCACTGAATTTTTCAGAAATGCAACTAGCATTTAAACTGAAGGAATAATGTATTTTGTTTTGTTCAACACTTTACCAGTTGTTCACTATTTCAGAAAATCCCACCACCGACAGCAATGGGGCTTTTGGTACCCAGTCTACCAATATAACACAACTGTATTAGTTTGCATTCTTATCTGTCAAATGCAAATACGTAAGAGAGAAATAGGCCTAGCACCAAATATTATTAAATTGGCCATGGGACATGAAAGTCAAGGATACCACCAAATTGCATTCATGGAAAGCATTTTTTTTATATTTCATTTTACTGCCACAGTACATACCTTTAAAAAAAATCTGTAGCACAATGATGAGAAATCTACACTGTGAAAATTACTGATTAAAATTATTTACTTACTTTGGATTTGCTTCTTGTTTCTCAGTCTTACAGTGAAACTGTCCCTAGAGGTCTCCCACACAACTTCTTTATGGCTTCTTATATTACTGCTTCTTTTTCCAATCCATTCCCTATTCCCTGTGGCCTACCGAAGTGCTTTTTAAGAACTAGAGACCAAATGTATGCATCAACATAAGACATGATTTCAAGATGAGAGGTATTCTTCCTGTGATTCTTCAACACCACTCAGTCCCTTTTCATAATATAGGGAATGACTCTGCAGCTACCCTTTTAAGTAAGTCCCACTCATTTCCAGGAATGGCATACTTGCCTATGTTCTCTACCTCAAAACTGCATTATTTATCTTAGCATGTTAGCTCTACTTCAACTAAGGTTATTTCCCTCTTTTTCTCATCATGTATATTACTATTAATATGTATCCAAAGGTTAGCTTTTATTCTAGTATCCCTCAAACCTCTCATCTTTCATTTCTTGTACTCATTTCACAGAATGGCTTGTGATATTCTTTTCTTTTCTTTTTTTTTTTTTTTTGAGATGGAGTCTCACTCTGCCACCCAGGCTGGAGTGCAGTGACGTGATCTTGGCTCATTGCAACCTCTCCCTCCTGGGTTCAAGTGATTCTCCTGCTTTAGCCATAGCTGGGATTACAGGCACATGCGGCCAAGCTTGGCTGATTTTTGTATTTTCAGTAGAGACGGGTTTTCACCATGTTGGCCAGGCTGGTCTCGAGCTCCTGAGCTCAACTGTGAGGAGAAAATAAAACCCGCCCACCTAGGCCTCCCAAAGTACTGGGATTATAGGCATAAACCACCACTCTCGGCCTGATATTCTTTTCTTAAATCCAATTTCACTCATATCAAGTAGATATAAGCATTTGATTAATTCATTATGTCTTCAAGTAGAGTTGTGCCCAAGCCTTTACATTGGAATACTTAGCTTATTGTAAGCCACTTCCCTTTTCTTTCTTCTTTATATTGTAGTTAACCATCATACCATTTTTTTAAGTATATGGGTGGGTAGGTAATTTCTATAAAGTTCAAAAGAGGGCAGTTAATCTGATAGGATTAAACAGTTGACTGGAATCTAATTTGGGGCAGAGACTCTTTAGGCTGAAACTTAACGAATGGGTAAGAGTTAGCTAAGTGAAGGGAAAGTAGATCAGGGAGATAGAAAAAGAGGCCAAACCCTTGAAGGCAGAAGAATCCTCAGAGATAACAGAGCAGAGAGCTTCAGCTAGAGAACTGGTTGCCAAAAAGTGGTAAGTGAACCCCTGGAAGCACACAGCTGAACTTTTGCTGATAAAAAGGCTAACTTTTTAATTTTAATAGATTCAAGTGTTTTGAAATACATATTAGAAGAACAGTAGTTTCCATTTAAGGTGGCAAAACAATTTCCTTGTACAATTAACTTAAATATTAGCAAAAATAAGCTTTTTTTAATAGTAAGTGTTGGTACAAATAGGACATGAATATGGTAAATACATGGCTTCTGAATGACTGAAGTTGGGGTGCTCTGACCTATTAGCATGGAGGTTGGAGAAAGAGGTAGAGCTAGAGATGAGATGAGAAAGCAAGGGCTTGGTCAGGCAAAGTCCTACAAACCACTGTAATTATTCAGGTCTTTGTCTTAAAAGCAATGAAAAGCCACGAAAGGACTTCAAACAGAGGAATGAGAAGATCATAGCTGTGTTTTATAAGATCAGTATGGCATCTAATGAGAAATGGATTGGAGGTAGGAAAGATGGCTGTGGGTAGACGAGTTAGCCAACTTTTCCAAATGTTTAATTCAAAGACAATGGTGGGGCTGGGTGCGGTGGCTCACACCTGTAATCCCAGCACTTTGGGAGGCTGAGATGGGAGGATCACAAGATCAGGAGATCGAGACCATCCTGGCTAACACGGTGAAATCCCATCTCTACTAAAAATACAAAAAATCAGCCGGGCGTGGTGACACGCACCTGTAGTCTCAACTACTCAGGAGGCTGAGGCAGGTGAATTGCTTGAACCTGGGAGGCGGAGGCTGCAGTGAGCCAAGATCACGCTACTGTACTCCAGCCTGGGTGCCAGAGCAAGACTCCATCTCAAAAAAAAAAAAAAAAAAAGACAATAGTGGTCCAAGTTCAAGTGATAGCAGCAGAGATGAAGAAAGGAAGAGGAAATTGAGAGATAACATCTCCTGAAATCCAAGTTGCCATAAATTGAAAAATAGTTGGCTTAATGATAGCTTGGCTGATAACATGAAGAAATAGATGCTAAGTGAGCATATCAATTGTAAGATATTGCTTCAGAAACATTAAAATATGGAAAATCCATGCTTCTTTAAATAGAGGAAATACAATTTTTAAAGGGTAGAAAAGAGTGTGTAGACACTAAACAAATGACTGATGATAGTGAACCCCCAGTTGGAAAAAGTCAAAATTGCCAGATTTCTTTGGCCTCAAACTGCTAAACATCTAATGTCTTGGGCTTTATTCACTTTTTGTCTTTGAGTGACATGACAGATCATTTTGGTGATATAGATGGAGCTCAAATTGACAAGGTTACTGGAGAAAGTAAAATCAAAAATCCTTTCTCAGGTAAAGATATACCTGAGTAAGGAATGCTGACCTTCTAATATCAGAGGCCTAAAACTTGTAAGTGGAAGTTTGCTTACAGAAGACAATGTTCACAGCATTCTGAAAGTCATGGCCAGGTTGTTGCTGTTATTATGAAAATGGTGATTTATAGCCAATGTCCATAGCCTAGGCCTCGAGGTATGTTTACAATTTACAGTAAGAGGGGCCCAGCCTTAAATTATTGTTAGCAAGTCTTGATATTATTTTGTAAAAAATGAAATATGTAAACACATACATATCACCTTTTAATTTTATTTCTTAGGGGACAAGGGAAAAAACACAGTTTGCAACTATGTATATCTCCTCACATCAAAGTTTAACTCCTCAAGATGAATACATTCTGTGCCTCTGCTCCCAACTTGAAGAAATTTCAACTGCTCTATTCTTTCCACAACTGCCCATTGTCTTAAAAAACCCCAAATCGCTGGCATTTTAAAAATTAAATACAGTATATTTTCTAGAAAGAAAAAATAATTACCAGGCTCGCACGTGGCAGATTCCTCTAGCCATGCAAGCCTGGATATTCATGAAAGCCATTTCTCACTTGGCTCAGGGAAACCTCCCAGAATGATAGGACCATTTACACTAAATGAACCGAACATATTACTGGAGTAACAATTGACATTAAGTATATTACAGCTGCCAGGGGCAGTATCAGGAAGAATCCCTGGATGACAGAAAACATGATAATGTAGAAGGAAGAACCTGCAGAATCAGAAAGGGGGGAAAAACCCCTCATAAAACAATTTTAAAAATATATAAAGAGGAAATCATATTTAAAGGAAAAACAGAGAAATTTTGTTATTTTTTTTCCTTCTGCCTGCAGTAGCCTTCTGGTATTAGACCTGCAATGCATTTGCTACCCCCTAAAATATTCTCAACACTAACAAGATCAGAGGAAATGATTTATTCCACCCCCTCTCCTGCTACTTCTGAACGGCAGCGCGTGTCCTTGGGGACATGGGATTTCTGCATTGCTTTCGGCCATCTGATATTGCAGCTCTGCAGCCTTCCCTGGAATGAGCCAGAAAAATCAAAATAATTACATTAATGCTGGGAATCAAAGTTTATTGACTCTCCCTTGAGGTGGAAAACCAAAATGCTGGTTACAAAAGTTGCCAGCTTATTTAATGATACCACTGCCTCCTCCCTGTTCTTGTCAAAACAGCTTTTGAAAGCATTTTCAAATAAAGCCCTCAGATGCGCTCCAATTCAATAGCTTATCTATTCCCTTTTAAATAAAAGCTAGTTCACATCATCTCACCCCCTCAAAGGGAGGACCCGACAGGCCCTCTTCCCCTGCCAAGGCACTGCCAAAGGCAATACTCCCAGGCAATATCCCTGCCATCATTTCCGCTCTCTTCAGGAAGGTTCTGCCTCATTGAATATTCTTCCAAGCCAGTAAGAGAATCTCATGCCTCCCCAAGGCAGCAATCTACATTTATTATAACATTCATGGCTGCTAATGAAACTTGGAGCAGCTGGTTTCTTTCACTTTCCAACAATTCTTTGGATATTCAAAGTCCCCTCATAAGAGAGGGGAACTTATGAGCACACCCATTTCATGGATGAGCCCGCAGACACAGAGATTCAATGTGGTGCTGACCTTTGTAACTTTCACAGGACTTTGCTACAGCCCTAAAAAAACAGATGCTAAATAATAATTGATTGAATTAAACTGAAGGAGGTAGATTAATTTTTTTAATTAAACTGAATCAAATAGAACAGAAATAAACAAACTCTAGCCCTCTCCATGCCTAGTCAACACCTACTATTCTTTCTTGTTTCTTTTTTTTCCTTTTTATTATAAAAGTTTTCAAATAAAATGAGAGACCAGTATAATGAAGCTCCAAGTACCTATCCACCCAGGTTGAACAATGATCAAGATTTTCCCACATTTGCTTCATTCATCTTCTCCTTTTTTTCTTCTTCGTTGAAATATTTTAAAGCAAGACTAAGACAGCATGCTACTTCATTCCTACTTTTGTCAGTGATTATGCTGTGCAGAAAAGAGTTACCATAGAAGGCCTGAGGTTGCTATTTTTAGAATTTAAAAAAGTTTGCAGGTAGGTAGGTAATATCTACAGACTTCACTTTATGATGATAAAAGAGACATAAGAGAAATAGACCTGCTTGCAAAGTTGACTCTTGGCTGGCATCTGGGAACATGGATTTGGGAAGGTTGCCATCATTCCCAGAACTGATAAGAGTGGCTCACTGTGCCCGAACTGTTTGTTCAAATAATGAAATGCTAAATGCCTGCTTTCCTTCTGGGAGTCTAAAATGTTGGTATGTGCTAGCCAGAGAGTATCTACGTGACCAGCCCCCAATAACAGCCTTGGGTGCTGATGCCCTAACAAGCTTCTCTGTTGGACAACATTTCACATGTGTTGTCACAACTCATTGCTGAAGGAATTAGGCATGTCCTATGTGACTCCACTCAAAGAGGTCTCTCAGAACCTTGCATCAAGTTTCCTCTGAAGTTCACCCCATACGCTTTTTCCCTTTGCTGATTTTGCTTTTTATCCTGCTGTAATAAATCATGGCTGCAAGTACAACTATATGTTGAGTCCTGTGAGTATTCCTAGCAAATCATTGAACCTGGTAATGGTCTTGGAACCCCTAACTCATATACCTACCATTTTTTAAGTCTACTTAAACCTCACTTTTTCACAGAAACATTGGTGACCTTGGGGAGATGCCAAACTAAGGGAGGCCCCGGTTATCCATTCTCACAGCACCCTGAACTTCCTCTTCATAACATTTATCGAAACGGTCCCTAAATAATGTTGAAATCATTTGTTTGTGGTCTATCTCTCCACCAAGAACCCAAAGTCCCTGAGACAGGAATTTTGTCTGTTTGGTTTGCCATGTATACCTAGCATGGTACACATGGTATACATTTAAAATTTTAAATAGATTCAAGAAAATACCATACCCCTCCTCCAAGTTTAAGAGGTAAAGTTTATATAATTTCCCTTGCATTACACTCATTCATTCACCAAATACCACTCACTTATGGTATAATCTATACTGTGTCCCAGTTCAGTTTAATATCCACTTCATTAACATCTTTCTGTAATTAGCAACATCATGCCAATGCTTCACCTTTTAGGTGAGACAAAGCATGACTCTGCAAGGGGGCTTTCCTCTTGACACTGGTGACTAATTCATCTATTTGCATCACATTATAGGACCCTCTTTCCACCTTACAATCCTCTAGAGATTCTCCTGCAAATACAGACTCTTGAGATGATTCTTACATGCCTACTAAAGTTTGGAAAACCACTGTTTTGGGTCACTCAAAAAATGAAAAGGCAGCTATAATTAAAGAAAACCTCATGGATATGATTCTTCACCTGAATTTTTAAAAAGATAAATAAACCACAGACTAAACATAAATTTTGCTAAGCATATTCAACTACTGAAAATACCATACGACAACAGAGAGAATAAACATATATTCCTTTAAAGAAAAGAAGTGAGTTGTCCATATGTTGTAAGGGATACATCTATATATATATACAGATTGTCTTGCACATTTAATGTGTGCGCAGAAATGGGTCAAGTAGATTATTTTTTTCATGGTGGATGAAAGTAAGATGTGATGAGACACACTTGAATGGGGATTGGCAAGATTTTTAAAGATTATAAGCTTTGCGTTTTCATATAATCTACCATCCTGCAAATTCACTTCTGAGTATATATTAATACCCAAGAGAAACTTGAGCACATATGTCAAACTCCATCAGTGAAAGGCCACCAGGAACACCCTGGTAGTCAAAGTTAAGTGGTTCACCTTACTGTAGCAAAGGAGAAAGTACCCCAGAGGAACCTTGGGAGCATCTTAGTAAAGGGGAATTATCAGTGGCTTCCTCTAGGGTTTGGGGAATTGAAACAAACTGAAGTTTGCCCAGAAGCAGCAGTCACTCTGAGAAAGACAGTGATAGTCAGAAGAAAGGGGTGTTTAGTCATTTGTAGGGTCACAGAATGGCTTTGTTTATGCCTTGTTCTGAGTATTGTTTATGTTCTAGTTGCCAGTAGAGCCATGTTTTACTTTCTCACATATGTACCAGGAAATGTGTATAAGAACATTCATAGCAGCACCATTCATAGAAGAAAATTTAAAAATTTAACTAAATGGCTATTGATAGGAGTACATATAAAACTTAAAAAGGACAGGGAATGATGAACATGAGGTTAGTAGTTGGTTACCTCTTACGAAGAGGTAGAGATGGGATAAAAGGGGGCACAAATTTGTAAGTTATTGGTAATATTTACTTGTTGGGTTTATGCCTGTTATATTATGAAATAAATATTATAAAATAAAACAGAATTTACCATGGATGACAGTGAGTCATGAACCAAACTTATAATTAATCTACCTCTGTGACCTGAGGTCCACATTATTTTAAAACAAACAAAAAATAACAATAATCATTCATATTTACGTTTCCTTCTCAGCCATACATTTTCTTTTCTACTTAGCATTTTCCACTGTGACACAGTAGGTGCCAGTTGTGTTTATACAGAAGCTACAATAAACAAGACTTTTTATTAAATGCAAATGTCACCACGCAGTAGAATCAACTATTGACTTTGTGCAACCTCTCATCAACAGAACCATCAATACGTCTAGCAAGGCACAGGATTTATTGTCTATGCACACCTTTCAGAGGGCTTCCTGAAACACAACTAGCTTCCATAATTGGTAACCAAATAAAACCGCAGGCCACCAGAAGCAGAATATAACTCTCTCTAGGAAGCTGTAAATTAAAGGGAGATTTGTCTAACTAAATGTACAGTGCTGCACTCACATGGGCATTTCATCTCTTGCTCTTTAATGGAGGCAGTCCTTGTACCCCTACTTCACATTACGAATATGGTTTCATCTCTGACAGAAAGGCCAGAGCACCTGGCAGAGTCCTCACATGCTCCCTCCTTTTACCTTTTCCATTGCATTAATTAATTAGAACTGTCTTTATATTCAGTGACATTTGATTTTGAGGACATTTTTACAAAATAACAACACCAGGTCCAAGTTCACTACAGCAATAGGATCTACAAGAACCCAAAGAATGAATGCTTTTTAGCAAATGAGAACACAAAGTCACATGATCTTTATTTTTAAAAAGCTCATAAACTATGTCAGGCAGGGGAATCACATTGCCAGACACCATAAAACAACATATAATTAAACTCTAGCAGTCCATTAGAAGACCTAGTGACAAGCCCTTCTCCACTGCTGCAACAAAGGTGGGATGATTTACATGTAGACTGGGAAAAGTCCCATGATATTAGACCAAAATCCAGCACTGCTGCTAATTTTTTTAGACTGAAATGTGATTGCCCAATATTAAATTGTTACCATTAGTGGGGAAAAAATAGCTTATTCTAACAAATACTTAATTTCTCTCTAGCTTTGGTGCAGTCCTGACTTGTAGTTTATTCTAATAAATAATTTAAAAATAATTTTGGTCACCTCCCATATGATCCAAAGTAATGCTATTTGAGATCAATAGGACTAACATTTTCTATCTGGTATCCATGGAGTTTTTTATCCAATGAGAGAGAACATTCAGGAACTTAGCCTGTCTCATGGCTGAAAATAGGTAGAATATGTTAGGTGTGCGTTTGATACAATCTGTAAATAAAAGGCAAATTATAAAAGTTCCCCTCCCTGCAGAGACGAAGTCCCACAATAGGGTGCACAAGCTGCATTTCAACCCCCACCCACACCTCAGATATGCATCTTCATTCAGTGCACAGAAGACTCAACTGTAGGGGCGGCCTGGATACACATGCCATGTTTCTTCCTTGCCCACTTGGTGTCTTCACATCCCCTTCCCCTTAAAATAATCCCATTAGTTGAAAAGTTCCTGGATACAAGGAGCAGCCATCAAAGTCCATGGATGGATTTCAAGGGGATGAATTCATTTAACATTATTAAATGTTTACTTTGCTAATTCTCAATACTTGTACACAATATAAGACATGATTTCTTCTGTCTATAATATGAAGTCTGTGATTAGAGTAATATTTCAATTTTTGGTTTGTTTGTTTTGACTTGGAATTAGCAGTAGGATACCAACTTAAGTCAAATTTACTAGTTCTCATTTTCCCTAATTCAGCATTTGTTTTCATCTATAGAATTCCTTTTCTTAAGTCAGGCTCTTTGGGGTCATCAGCCCCCTGAAATCATGTGCAAAATGGGATGCCTATGTGCACATGCCTCTTTCTGTGAGGATCGGTACCTGAGAACTTTGATGCCAAGTTAAAAAGACTGTGCCTTGAGTTTTTGACACTAGGGAATGAAGGAAAGTATGAGATAAAGAATATACAACATCTGCCACAACTACTGCATATTTTCTTTCTATATCACATTCAACAGTTTATTACAATCACCAGGCTTTTCATTCCCATAAAGCAATGTTCAGACTTCAAATGTGCTAATAATTTAGCTGGAGAATTTGAGAAAACTACACATTCCTCTCCAACACCCCCACCCCCACCTCCTTAGCCCCAAGAATCAGATTTCATCACTCTGGAAGAGAACTCAGATATCTGCACTTTTTACAAGTGCCTCATGTGATTCTGAGGCAATGGTGAGAGACCCAAGCTTTGAAAAACGTGCCATGATCTACCATCAAGTAGGAATCATGTACATAAGTTCTTCCATTAGAGGAAAAAATAAATGTATTTGTTTCTTTGTAAAGATAGGACGTTGGAAATTTTCACTTAGATTACTCTGTAAGCGACAAGGAAATTAGAAAGCTCGTTTTTTACAATAATCACTGTTACTTGACAGTTCCTGCAGCATGTTAAGATGGCTGTTATTGATGACACTTATTACCTTTTCCCATGCAATAAAACACAGGAACATACAGTGGAAGAGATAAGTATATTTTAAAACAACAGAAGGAAGAAAAATAATGGTAGTCATGTCCTCTCATTATTTGTGTAGACTGACTACCATGGGGAACAGTGAAATGCCTTTTTTAAAGTTACACTGTGGCTTTAAATTGGGTTAACTCAGTGAGGATAGCCATGAAACAAGTGGCTATAGAGATGTAAAGAATGGGCTATTTCTCTACATTTCTCTTTTGCCTTTTATTTTCCCTATGGTCTTTAATGCATTTCTCTTTGGAATGGATGAAGTTATAAAGTTGCCTTACATAAAAGCTTTGCTTGAAAGATTGGTAATCACGCACTTTGCTACTGAATTGTCCAGTCTATTCAATCTAAAAAAGGCTCTTCTCTTTTGTTCAGCTCAGATTATCTCCTTTGCAGAGTGTAATAGAAATATCTGGGTATAAAATTGAGAAATTGTTCATAAATATTATGGAAGGCTTTTTGAGCTGTTTACTATTAGAGGCCTGATTTAGCAAACAGTAAGCCTGCTTTTGCTGGGTTGGGATTTTTTATTTTTTAACTTTTTCCTTTTAACTGAATCATCCACAGTTAAAAAAAAAAAAAAAAGATACAGATTTCACAGCACTTTCACCCATGATTAGAGCAGAAGAAAACAAATTGCTTTTTTTTTTTTTAGATGGAGGTTTGCTTTGTCGCCCAGGCTGGAGTGCAGTGGCGCAATCTCGGCTCACTGCAACCTCCACCTCCAGATCCAAGTGATTCTCTTGCCTCAGCCTCCCAGGTAGCTGGGACTACAGGTGCATGCCACCACGCCCGGCTCATTTTTTGTATTTTTAGTAGAGACGGGGGTTTCACCATGTTAGCCAGGATGGTCTCGATCTCCTGATTTCGTGATCCGCCCACCTTGGCCTCCCAAAGTGCTGGGATTACAGGCATGAGCCACTGCACCCAGCCACAAATTGCTATTTTTAAGAGACAGTTTTAATATCTTGTACTACATTTGGAGAAGAAAAAAACATCAGCACTGCTATCGCCTATAGGCAACTTTCTTATCTTGCCATTTCTTTATTTAAAGTCTTTGCACTGAACCAGCCAATGAAATGCATTATTCTACTGGCCAGCGTTCTCTAGCAGAAACAAGAGACAGCATGCATTACTGAGAAGTCAGACACATTTGCACTAAATCAAAAAATAAAAATAAAAAGACTCTCTAGCTAGAGGTTAATAACACAACTCAATCAAAACCAGTGACATTTTTTATCAAACAGTCGTGAAATTGCCATTTGGAACTCTAACTTGCTACAAATAGAATTAAAAGTGCCATTC
Organism: Homo sapiens; assembly: GCF_000001405.40. Classification (NCBI taxonomy): domain Eukaryota; kingdom Metazoa; phylum Chordata; class Mammalia; order Primates; family Hominidae; genus Homo; species Homo sapiens. The sequence goes on from NC_000003.12 coordinate 61,161,874, forward strand.
TAATTCTGTCTCCTTGTACAATACGACCCTGATATGGAAAACAAGGTGTCTACACTGAACACATCCAGTTTACAAGAGAAAAAACGGGATGATTTTTTGATTCTCTCAAATATTAGGTAAGTGTTTAACACATGACTCCTGAGTGGGAGTGCCAGTTAAAGAGTTGTAGTACCTGTCAACGCTGGTTTAACATTTCAACAAAGCAAATCATCAATTAAAACTCATCAGCAACAGTCATCCTGTTAATTGACCAAATGATTATCCTTCTTTTAGTTAAGACTCTACCTGACACACTTGAAGAAATTTTTTTCTCTGTTGTAAACCCTCTGGAGTCTGTGGCACACCTCACCTTGGCAAACCACTTTGGTTTTCAGATTCACTGGAAAGCCCCTCTTTGTTCTAAGAGGGGCTCCTGAATGAAAGCCAAGTTCTAGTCTGACTTTCTGATTGCTTCTTCTCAGGTTTTTTTCTTGCTTCCTACCAGGAGAAGGAAAAAGGTAGTCATAGGCCATCTGTTAAACTTGTGTTTAAAGGGAAGTACCAAGGTATGGCCAGCTGGATATTTTACTCAACATGGTGGATCATACTCAAGGTAGTGTATAAATGGTTTAGCAGTGAATTCCACCCCATACTTCTTGGGGTAACATCTATGCTATCAAGCCCTTAAAACCAAATCCAACTAGCTCTAAACCATAAACATATATTATGATTCAAGCATTTGCAGGAAAAAAATTGTGCTTCAGTATAAAACTTTGCTTCATCTAGAATATAAAGGATCCCATTTCCCAATTACCATATTATCAGATTCTGATTCTATGAGGACTAATTTTCAACTCTGTAAATTATAGATAAATGATAACAATGCAAAATAATTCTTGCCTATAGGCAAGCAAATTGTGTTCTGTTCTCTGGAGGTTCAATTAATCCCCCTACCCCACCCTCAGAAACCAGTTTTGCCCTCCATTTGTAACATTCTTTTCAGTATTCCTGATATATAAATGTGTCTGGGCTTTTTGGATTCTCTTTAGACTAGTTATAATATTTGGCTGGTTCTCTCATTATAAGTTGACCTAATCTTTAACATGTTTTCATTTTATATCAGTATGAGAGTCATGATTTCACCTTTATTTGAGAATTATTCTTTAATACATGTATAGATCTTGGACTAAGGCTATCAATTTCGAGACTTCACTTGTAGGACTGTGCTGTACTCCTGTCTCTCACACTCTCTGCACATGCCATTTCCCAGCCTGGAATGTTCTTCCCTCCTCCCCACTCCAGCTTCTGGACCTAGTTAATTCCTAATCTTCACTCAGATTTGGGCACAATTATAGCCTCCATAAACAAGCATTGCCTAACTACCCCTCCTCTCTGCCAAGAAGTTTAGATCTCCCTGTTATAGTTCTTGCACTTAACACCATTGACATTTATCTGTCTGGATTTTCTGACTAATGTCTCTTTTCCTCACTAGAATAATGCTCGCTGATGGTAGGGACCATATCCGGTTTTACATACCATTGCACCCAGTTAGGTGTCTGGCACACAGAAGGCTGAAACAATATTTGTTGTGATGGGGTTCTTGACACACTACCCCAAAATATGGCATGTCGGCATTTGACAAAACAGTGGAAGCAGGAAAGTCTCTCTGACCTTCTCCCACACTTTTCCCCTGAAGCAGGCCATAAAAGAAATCTCTAGCCTTCCTCTAAAGTGGGTCATAGGCCTTATTCAAGAGGCACCCTTCCTATGCCTGGAGGAAAGGAATGTCATTATCTCTGAAGGCACAGAGATAAAGAGAAAAATCTGAATAAAGAAGGCTTGCTAAGTTCCCCCCAGTTTATTATCTTTAGATCACACCCCCTATGTCCAATCATACTTCTACACAACTGTCTGCTCTTCATCAAATTTAGCATAAAAATATACAAGTTTCCCTGTTTCTTTGAGTCTTCCTTTCTCCATGTCACATAAAACTTATACTAAATAAATTTATGTCCCTTTCTCTTATTAATCTTTCTTTTGTTATAGGGGCCTCAGCCATTAACCTGGCAATGGAAAAGAAAAATATTTTCTTCTCCCTTGCAGTTGCGTACATCAGCAACACAGTAGATCCATGGATCAGTGAACAAATTGGGCTATGAATATTCCTATTATAAATCAGAAAAACAGATCTAGACCAAAGCTGACCAAAGGAGAAGGAAAAGGAGAGACTGCATTTTGATGTAAGTGTTACTGATTTGAAAAACCATGGAGATCGATCACCTACTACAAGGTCCAATGGTATTCCAGATTCTAGAAAAGACCTAGATAAAAATATAAAGTCTCTGAAAGTCCTCTCATCTTCTCCAAAGAGTCCTAAAATCCAAAAGAACCTAGGATTTCTGGGTATTTTGAACCTGAACAAAGGCAAAGCACAAAAAGCATGGTATAGAAGAAGGCTTCTCAAAGTGTGGTTCCCAGACCAGCAGTACCTCTTGGAAACTCTCAGGCCTCATCTCAGACCTACTGATGAAATCAGAAACTCTGGAAGAGGGACCAGCCATCTAGGTATCAACAATCGCTTCAGGTGAAACTGATGCTTGTTAGAGACTCATTGGCATAGAACAAAGATGGGCCTCAACAAAGATGGAATCACCAGACTCCACTGTAAATAGCTGTGAAACACTGAGCAAGTTATTTAAGTTCTCTAAGCCTGAGTTTACTTATGAGGAAAAATGGGGATAATAACAACAAAAACTATCCCACAGAAATGTGGTAAGAATTTTTTTTTTTTGTTTCAACTTTTATTTTAGATTCAGGGGGTATATAGGCAAGTTTGTTACCTGAGTATATTGTATGATGCTGAGGTTTGGAGTACAAATGATCCTGTCATCCAGGTACTGAGAATAGTACTCAACAGTTAGCTTTTCAACCCTTGCTTCCCTCCCTCACTCACTCCTCCAGTAGTCCCCAGTATCAATTGTTGCCATCTTTATGTCTATGAGTACCCAACATTTAGCTCCCACTTACAAGTAAGAACATTTGGTTTTCTGTTCCTGCATTAATGCACTTAGGATAATGGCCTCCAGTTGCATCCATGTTGCCACAAAGGACATGCTTTTGTTCTTTTTTTATGACTGTATTGTATTCCATGGTATATATGTACCACATTTTCTATATCCAATCCACCATTCATAGGCACCTAGGTTGATTCCATGTCTTTGCTATTGTGAATAGTGCTGCATGAACATATACATGCATGTGTCTTTTTGATAAAATGATTTGTTTTCTTTTGCATATATCCTCAGTAATGTGATTGCTAGGTTGAATAGTAGTCCTGTTTTAAGTTCTTTGAGAAATCTCCAAACTGCTTTCCACAGTGGCTGACCTAATTTACATTCTCGACAACAGTTTATAAGCATCCTTTTTCCCCACAGCCTCACCAACATGTGTTGTTTTTAGACTTTTTAATAATAGCCATTCTGACAGTGTGAGATGGTATCTCACTGTGGTTTTGATTTGCATTTCTCTGATGATTAGTGATGATGAGCATTTTCTCATATGTTTGTTGGCCACTTGTATGTCTTCTTTTGGGAAGTGTCTGTTCATATCTTTTGCCCATCTTTTAATAGAGTTACTTGTTTTTTGCCTGTTCAAAAAATTTTGAGTAATGTCTATAAATTGCCTAGAAAATTGACTGACAGGCTGGGCACAGTGGCTCATACCTGTAATCCCAGCACTTTGGGAGGCTGAGGTGGACAGATCACCCAAGGTCAGCAGTTCAAGACCAGCCTGGCCAACATGGTGAATCTCTGTCTCTACTAAAAATACAAAAATTAGCCAGGTGTGGTGGCGCATGCCTGTAATACCAGCTACTCGGGAGACTGAGGCAGGAGAATATCTTGAACCCAGGAGTCAGAGGTTGCAGTGAGCTGAGATCGAGCCATTGCACTCCAGCCTGGGTGACAAGAGTGAGACTCTGAAAAAAAAAGAGAAAGAAAGAAGAAGAGAGAGAAAATTGGTTGACAAAGAATGGATACTAATGAAATAATAGCTGCTATTGAATTTATCATTCATGTCAGTAGCAGCAGCAGCAGCACCATCATCACCATTACCATCACCTTGTCTAGATTCTTAAGGCCTGGAACCCAGGGTTGGAAGAAACTGTTGTCCTTTTGCCTCATACATCAGCAAAGCGTGCATAGGGCTCTTAGGAATTGGGCAGGAGGAATCCAAATTTGTGCACCATTACTGTCTTCTAGCTGATGCCACCGTTTTTTGTCAGTCATTTATACTAAAATATACTAACTTAGATAGGTACAGAATTTAAGAGGTTACACAAGCACTTAGCACACATGCTATCTGATCTTCACAAACAACCTGAGAGTAGTTATTTAATTCAGAGAAGTTAGTGGACTTGCCCAAAGTCACATTGCCAGTCCTCACAGTCATCTGAAGAGCCAGACTTGAATCCAGGTATTTTGATTCCAAACCTAGTGCTTTCTTCTCTACTCCTCGTCTATACTTCTGTTTTCATTATACCACCTTGCCAAGGAAACAAACACTCACCAGACACACTGTAGAGTAAAATAGACCTGACATCCTTTAGAGTTCTTCTTGGATCCTGGAATGTGGTTCTTATTGTCTCTACTTACAAACCTCACATTTACAGAAGCAGGCTGTATTTTTTTAACACCTTCCTTATTAGCAATAATTGGTCCCTTCTGCTGTATGTTTGTTTGATTTTTAATACACACAGTTCAAGATTAACTCAAATCTGTTCAACACCAATCTTTCTAAAAACCAACTTTCCAAATATCCACTTGTAACACAGAAAACTGCAGATCGTCTTTCCTGCTTCCAAAATACAGTCACTTTCATAAATGTTGTCCATTCATTCTAGCACTGAGTGTTCATAAAGCACCTACTCATTGCTAGGCACTATGTGAGGCAATGGGCACACAGGTGTGGTGTCTTAAGTAAGACAGGTGTGGTGCTTTCCATCCTGGAAGTGTGAGGGAGTCTGGCAATAAAAAAATCAACAAATAAAAGAAAATAGCCACAGGTTAGAGTAAGTGCCATTGCAAAGCCTCAACAGGTAAAATGATGAAGTAGTCACTCACATTTTCTTCAGGGGCTGGAGAAGCCCAGGGAATGACTCCAGACAGGGTGGTCCAAGGTCCACTTCTCACTCTTCAGATAAAAACACAAACAAGCATATCTTGACACAGAAAATCTAATGTGAAAATCCGGTAAGTGGAAATATGAGTTGACAGAATGGGTGATTTAGAAACGGATTATCTACTTTAACATGAGAATTCGATACAGGATTTTTCTTGAGCACTTTCCTAATACAAATACATTTTATATTTATATCCCTATTAAATATATACTATATTTAATATAAATATAAAAGTTGGATGCCATTTATAAAAATTCAATTAATAACAAAATGAAACAGCTACTGCCAAAAACTTGCATATACAGACGTTAAAAGAAATACGGGGCTGGGTGCTGTGGCTCATGCCTGTAATCCCAACACTTAGGGAGGCTGAGGCGGGCAGATCAATTGAGGTCAGGAGTTCGAGACCAGCCTGGCCAACATGGCAAAACTCCATCTCTACTAAAAATACAAAAATTAGTCGGGCATGTGCCTGTAGTCCCAGATACTTGGAAGGCTGAGGCAGGAGAATCACTTGAACCTGGGAGGCAGAGGTTGCAGTGAGCTGAGACTGCACCACTGCACTCCAGCCTGGGCAGCAGAGTGAAACTGTGTCTCAAAAAAAAAAAAAAAAAAGAAAGAAAAGAAAAGAGAAAAGAGAATAAAAGAAAAGGAAAAGAAAGGACAGGACAGGAAAGGAAAGGAAAAGAAAAGAAAAAAGAAAAGAAGGTACCAAGAGGTGGAAAGGAACAGGGAGAAAGAAAACAGTTATTCAATGTTTTTGGAGGCCCAAGCACAGGGTTTTGGCATAATTTATTTAGTCCATAAAACAACTCTGTATTTAGGGATCATCCACATTTTACAACAAAGGAAACCCAATTTCAGTGAGGTGAGATTATTTGTCCAAGATCTCTCAGCTGGTAAGTGACAAAACCACAACATAAAAATCTGATCTATATCCAGTAACTATATCCCATCCATTCTATAAAGCAAGAATTGGCACACCACAGCCCACAGGGCCAGACTTGGACAGCAGCCTCTTGATACCACCACAAATTAAGAATGATTTTTACATTTTAAAAGCACTGAAAAAATTCAAAAGAATTATGTTTCATGACACATGAAAGTTTTATAAAACTCAGATTTCCATACCAATAAATAAAATGCCATTGGTACACAGCCACATTTACCTACTGTCTAGAGCTGCTTTCAAATTGCAAGATGGTGTTGAGCAGTTGTGAAAGAATCAGTAGGGTCCCAAGGCCTAAAATACTTACTGTCTGGCCCTTTACAAAAGAAGTTTGCTAACCCCTGAGGTAGAGAAAAGGATCCATAGAAATAAAAGTAACAAACACTCTCAGAAATGTGACTTCAAAAATGAGTGACAAAAGTATGCAAAAAATGGCTATAAAATGCACCTGAAAGAATTTAACCTAATGGCAGTTGCCTGAGGCACAACTTTCTCAATTTCACCTGAAGGTTTCATTTTTCTGGCCCTGTGTCCCAGTGAGGAAGACCCAAGTCAACCTTGTGACAGGGATTTATCACGTCTTAACTTGAGCAATGCTGTGTTCCCACCAGCACTCTCAGAATGGAGGCCACACAATGTCTCCACTCCTGCATTCACTGGCTCAACTTGGTTTCTGAAGAATGCGAATTTAGTTCAAGGCACGGTTTCAAGCTGTTTTTGTTGATTTCCCACTATATTGTCTTCTCTAAATATTTTCTGGTTCAAGTGCATACGCTCAATTATGAAAATGAATTCTTACAAACAACCTGATCTGGGCGGATAGTTAACTCACACCATGAAGCTCAAATTTGCCAGTACAGGGAAAGGTATTTCTTTTTCTTTTCAGTCTTCAGGCTACAAGGTTGAAAGCCAGAAGCTATGTGTTATAAAATGTCCCTAGTTTTTCCCATGTTTTGTAGCACACATATTGATCTCTATGTCTTTGCCATTTACTTGTGTGTGGTCATCCCCAATTAGTGGGTTATTTTGTACTTTTCAAAGTTAAATTCTAAGTCAATACTTAGGGCGTACACCTAAGTCAAAGATGGCCTCCACCTTGAAGGAAAAAAATTATTACATTTCAACGAAAACCTACACATCATCTATAAACACACTCTTTCCAGCTGTCTGACTCTAGCCTTGTACAATGTCTTTGAGCTATTTTGCACCACTTCGTAAGTTGTAGATAACTGATAGATATATATAAATTCTGTCTTACAGGCTGTGATTTTAATTGACTTCCTACTGTGGAGAAAACAGTTTTATCTCAATTTGCAACTCATCTTAACTCTCTTTTAGTCCATATAAATTTGTGCCATTTTGACTTTTCCTTTGAGCCAGTTATAACATCTGCCTGGTTCTCTCAAATCATATAAGTAAAATAAAATCTTTAGCATGTGTTCATTTTTATACCTATATGAGTCATAACTTTACCTTTTACTGAAAATTATATTTTAATGACCCAAAAGATTAGTAAGAATTCAGATTTATTTCAAAATCTATCTTTAAAAACTTTAAATTTTGAGTGATTTCACCTTTAATATGAATTTAGTTGGAAGTAATATTAAGTTAGTTTAAATCATATAGAAAAATGAAATGTGATGAGAAGTGAACTTCTTTGTTCCCTTTTATTGCTTTTAAAATGATACAAGACAAAAATTGTGCAGAGGGGCAAGAAACAAATGTTAAACAAAAATTATTCTGACATGTGTTAAAATGGTAAGGAAGACTTTATTAAGGACTATTGCAATAGCAGTATTGCAACAGGGGAGAGAGATCAGGTTCAACTCCAAATACAACAAAGATAGATAGTCAGGGATTTATAGCCAGTGTTAGAGCAGATAAGGGGTTCAGTGGGTAGAAAACTACTAAGAGGAGTAAGGGAATTCTTGCTAAATTAATTCCTAACAGGATTCTTGCTAAAGGCAGGCCAATGACTTAGACATCAAGGGTGGGGTGAGAAACTTGATTAGACATCACGGTGACCAGCTATCACTTAAAAAGATTATTGCTAAAGCCAGGCTAGAAAGATCAAATACAGGAATGAGGTCTGGGGCCAAGGTCGCTAGTTGAGAAAAGGGCTCAGAGGAGTATAATTAAAGTTTGGGCAAGGAGAAAATCTTCATCATAGGTAATAGCAAATTTATAAAAGGACAATTCAATTCAATAAATCTTGTCCTCAAGGAATTTACAATCCACTGAAAAGAGATAATTAAGTCACCACAACCTGGTCAAATTACCTTGGTTTTACTTTGCAATTAAATTTTATTCCCATATGAATCTATATGTAAATAATCTCTTTAAAGAAAACAAATAAAATGAGAAGTTAAAGTTATTTCTATCTCTGTAATCTTTATTTTAACCTTTATTTTAACTTCAGGGGTACATATGCAGGCTTGTTACAGAGGTAAACATGTGTCATGAGGGTTTGTTGTACAGATTATTTCATTACCCACATGTTAAACCTAGTACCCATTAGTTATTTTTCCTGATCCTCTCCCTCCTCTCTCCCACCCTCCAATAGGCCCTAGTGTGTGTTGTTCCCCTCTATGTGTCCATGTGTTCTCATCATTTTGCTCCCACTTATAAATGAGAATATGCAGCATTTGGTTTTCTGTTCATGTGTTAGTTTGCTAAGGATAATGGCCTCCATCTCCATCCGTGTTCCTGCAAAGGACATGATCTTGTTCTTTTTTTGGCTGCATAGTATTTAATGGTGTATATGTACCACCTTTTCTTTACCCAGTCTATCATTGATAGGCATTTAGGTTGATTCCATATCTTTGCTATTGTGAATAGTGTTGCAATGAACATATGCATGCATGTGTGTTTATAACACAATGATTTATACTCCTTCAGGTATATAGCCAAGATTTTTCCATAATCCCACTGGTATTAGATACCCAAAAAAATCCCATTGGTATTATATACCCAAAAAATACCAATGGGATTATCAGATTACTGGACCAAATGATATTTCTGTCTTTAGGTCTTTGAGGAATCACTACACTATCTTCCATAATGGTTGAACTAATTTACACTCCCACCAAAGGTGTATAAACATTCTTTTTTCTCCACAACCTCACTAGCGTCTGTTACTTTTTTAGCTTGTTAATAGTAGCCATTCTGACTGGTGTGAGATGGTATCTCATTGCGGTGTTGATTTGCATTTCTCTAATGATCAGTGATGTTGAGCTTTTTTGCACACGATTTTTGGCCGCATGTATGTCTTCTTTTGAAAAGTGTCTATCAAGTCCTTTGCCCACTTTTTTATGGGGTTCATTTTTTCCTTGTAAATTTGTTAAGTTCCTTATAGATGCTGGATATTAGACTTCTGTCAAATGCATAGTTCGCAAAAATGTTCTTCCATTCTATAGGTTGTCTGTTTAGTCTGCTGATAGTTCCTTTTGTTATGCAGAAGCTCTTTCATTATCTCTATAATCTTAATTTATAGACTAAAATATTAATTTGAAAATATACCAACTAAAGTGTATCACACACCTAAATCAAGGATTTTATAAAATACACTAAAACAGAAACTAAACATAGACTATTTATTCAACTTTCATATAAGCAAAAGACACCACTATTGGCCACCAACCTCACTACTCCCAGCCTGTGAAACAGGATGATTATGGGTATTTGTGAAATCTAAACATCACCACTCACTACATTAAAATGAAATGGCAACAAATTTCCACAAGTCTTTTTACTCAAAGTGTGGTGGCCCAACCCAGCAATCTGGGCATCACCTGGCACTTGTTATAAATGCAGACCCTCAGGCCCCACCTGCTGAATCTACATTGTACCAAGATCCCCAGAAAATTCTTATGTACATGAAAGTTTGAAAACCATGGATCCAGAAGTGTGTGAAAACATAACTACTGCCAGAATTTTTAGCATATTCCCTTATTCATCTCTTTTTTATGAAACTAAACGTAGTGGTTTTGCTGATAGAGATGGACGGGGGAAAAGAAATTTTGTTGTGACCAAAGTTGCTGCATTTTTTGCCTAGGGGTGGACCTAAAGTTTCATGTCAATCATTTTGTTTTGTGAGCAAAATCAAAGTCATGGGGAAAAAGGAGAGGGTGCAGAAAGAAGAAAATTGTGAATACATAGAATTTTATCACTGGAAGACAGAAAACAATCTCAATTATATATATAGTATATGTACTCAATACAGTAATGGTTAAATAAACCATGACACAACTATGCAAGAGCATATATAAAGACATTAAAAATAACAAGGTCATTTTTCATGTACCAAGATGCAGTGATCTCTAATGTAAACTTAGCTTAAAATATGCAAGGGGAAAAATGCAAGGGCAGCACAGCATATATAATGACTTATTATTCATGTAAGGAAAAGGACATAAGTGTGCATATGCATAGAACATCTCTGGAATGACACACAAGAAAGACACACAATGGTTACTGCCCAGAGGGGAGCTGAGGCACGAGGGACAGAAATGGAAGGAGACTGACATCCCACTGTGCATCTTTTAACATCTTTTGAATTATGTGATAGTATTATCCAATTAAAACAATATTTTAATCTAAGCATTGAAGAATTCCTAAAAAGTAGATAAAATACAGTTACTAAGATAATAAAGGAATCCCTTCTTCATTTTCCCTCATAGATGGTTATGTGACTATGTCCAAACACTTTCTGTGAGTTACAGATCTGAGAAGTTGTGTCTAAAATTCACTGACACTGGAGCTTAAATCCACGTGCCTAGAATGCTCCTCACTGCCCCCACACAACCCCTGAGAGCCCCCACTGATGCCAGTTCTCTCTGCAACACAAACTAAGCCTCTTCCTGTCTCAGCTGTGAACACATTTGCAGAAGGCTATTGTGGTTTTCCTTAGTCAGGGGTCAGAATGGCCAGCAGGGGCAGGCAGGTATCCTAAACGAGTAAAGCAGGCCTAGCCAAAACAAAGTGAGCCTTTACCCCTCCACCTGCAATGAAACAGGGCAGCAACTATTCTGCTCCAAGGAAATACTACCATGGAGGAGACAGGGCCAGATGTTGCCATGTCTTCCCAGGGATGTCAGAAGCTGCTAAATTTATTTTAAATACCTTGATTTAAAAATGTTAATATTTTAATTTTTTAAAAACAGTTTACAGACCAAATAAAATACATGTGCAGCTAGATGTAACCTAGAAGTTCATAATCCATCCTGTCATCTTTCGTGTGTGGAACCATGAACATTTCTCTTTTTGTTATTTTCTCATTGGAGCTGCTGAAAAGAAAAAAAAAATCTCTTTTTAAAAAACTCAAACAGCTATATTTTGGAGATTCGACAATTTACTAATCTATCACTCCAAAATGTGCTGTATAATTTATTTGACAGTCACTGTGCTTGCCTAAGAACTAAAAATAACCTCATTGTATGTGTGTGTGTTGTTTCTAAAGACCTGTGGTATTTATTATTGTTAGAATGCTTTCGATGTCTTTGGTGGTATGAACTGTGAGGTATCTCTGAAGGATAGCATTTCACTGTATTTCACAGAATATACATATACAGTCCATCAAAACTCTGGGGGTTATTTGCAAAACATAGTTCTCATTTTCCAACAAGCTTTCAGCGGAAGAAAGTTTCATAGAAAAAAATACAAATTTCCTACCACTCTACTTTGTGAGAACCTAAAGAGACTGTTAGGTTATAAAAAAGAAAATTGAGGGATAAATTTAACACTTAAAAGTGACTCTTCTAGCAGGAGGTTTGGGCACCCAGCCAGATTAAGGAGAAGTAGCTTTATACACACATCTTAACAGCAGTCTGAATATCAAATCTTCACTACTCTTTGCTTAAAGCCCAGTACCTACTGAGTCATCCCAGCCAGCATGTCCCTTCTAACTTGTCATCCTGTTTGTTATCACTCTATGCCCTCTGCAGTACTCTGGACTTTGAATGTGAGATTACTTTATTTAAGTGAACTGCAATTGAAAAAAGAACTCTTTTGATTGAATCTTGACCTGCAGTAATTGGGAACTTATGTAAGGACCCCATGATACTCATATTAAGGGGAGTGTGGGAGGATCCCACTACTAAAGCCTGGCTGCAGAAGAGGGATAATGGAAACTGCAGGTGTTAGAAAGGTACCAACATACATCTTCCCCCTATAGTACATGGACTCAGTTTTTACATATGGCTATGCTTTCTATTCTGCTTAAGTAACATAAAAACTGATTAGGAAACTCAAGATCTTGCACTACATATAAAATCTGCATCCATTGCTTATGGTCTAAAGTAAATGCAACAACTGACAATTCTTACAGAGTCTCAAAACCAAGAACCACCATGATAAAACAATTATACTGCAATGCTGAGGAAAGAGACATTTAATTACAGATATAATTTATGTGAGTAAGCATAATCATTTTAAATTTCTAAATAAATAGGCATGTCATTAAATATAAAGCATCAGGAAAGGATTTCAAAATCTGTATGGTTCATCTGCGTTGGCAAATTTGATCTATTCAGAGTTTACTCTGGGCGGGGGGGACCTCATGATTCCATCTTTATGGCCCAACTGTTGATTAACTTCCAAATGAAAATGCTTGATTCAGCATGTATTTTCTGTAAGAAAGGTATTTTTCACATGCTATAGCCAGGCCAATCTGTGTCTTCAATTGTTGTTAAGACACTAGTATATCTTTAAATCTTTTCCACTTATTAATTTCAGCAGATTATTTGTACACATTTCTCAGGCTATTCTGATATTTCAAATGCCTTGAAAATGTTGTAGCTACATAAATTAAATGGGCAATTAAGATGTCACCATGCAATTCTATACAATACATACTTGCAATGGGATACTTGTGAGGGTACCATTATCCAAACTGTCCTATTCATCAGCCTTTCTAGAACTTTAGAGATGGGAGTCAGTCAGCTGGGTTCCAGTCATGGTGAATGGCATGCAATGATCTCGAGGAAACCACAAAGCACATCTTCCTATGTTTGCATTTCCTCATCTATTAAATGAAGAGAAGACCTGGATCCTAACAGGACGTCTGCGAAACCCTCACGAAAGGTTAAGAAAAGAATAAAGAACATGACAAAGGTAAGGTTTACATGCTCTTATTGTGGCAGAAGGGAAAAAAAAGCAGAAATGCATATAAATACCTCACAGTTTGTCACACAAAGCACACATTTAAAAAACAATAACAAAAAACAACAAAAATAAGCAACCAAAAATAATTAACAGTAGTTCAAGTAATTTAAACCTGTATTCTCTCCTGAAGAAATACCAGATAGGTAAAATATACTCCCGAGCCACCACAAACTCTCCTAAAATCCCTTTGTCCATTTCTGCCACTTTCAACATCCATCTTCCACCCAGATGCCAGCTTGACCACCTCCCCCATCAAAGTCACCAGACTGAGCTCTAGGAAAGTCTTCATTAAATAGTGAACACATGACATATACTATCAACTCAGCTTGACCTTACAACATAGGTGCTATGGTTTGAATGATGGTGTCCCTTCCAAACTTAAATTTAATTAATTAATAATTAATTAAATTGTTGAAACTTAAGCCCCAGTGCAACAGTATTGGGAGATGTGGCCCTTGGGTAGCGATTAAGTCATGAGGGCGAGGCTCTCATGACTGGGATTAGCACCCTTATAAAAGGGCTTGAGGTCAAAAGGAGTACTCTCTTGCCCATGTGTCCCTCCTGCCATGTGAGGACATGGTGTACTTCCCTCCAGAGGATGCAGCAACAAAGCACCATCTTGGAATTAGAGAGCAGCCCTCAACAGACACCAGTCCTACTGGTGCATTGATCTTGGACTTCTCAGCCTCCAGAACTGTGACAAATTTCTGTGGTTTACAAATGACCAAGTCTGTGATATTTTGCTACAGCAGCACAAACAGCTTAAGACAATGGATAACTAATCTAAGTTCCAAAACTAGTGGGCTTTTGACATGCCTTGGAAGTAGACAGATAAAGCAGTAGCCAAGATCTTTTCTCATCTTTGCATAAGCAAATCGTAATTGACAAACATCAGTATCTCAGAGCATTCAACAAAGTGGCAATAAGTAAATAGATAACTGATGAACATACAGAATCGAAAGGCTGACGTGGGTTTCAGGTTTCTCTGGGTTGTGGGGCATCCCATGGCCAAGTACTGAAACTCTTCCTTGAATAACTATCTCCAGAGTTTGAGCCATTGAGGCTCTTGGTGACAAAGACAACTGATATGCTTGGATCCATCAAATAACATATCAGCAATTCATGCCCCACTGATAGTAGAAAAGTGCTGCAATCATTTTATTCTGAAGAGAGCATAAAGATTTACACCACATGTCAAGGCTAGATGTTGTTCTGCCACCAGGAAACTTGCTGTGTGAGACACACAAAAAATTAAACACCTCAAGAAATACAGCTTTCTGGAAAACATCAATACCTCTTCTTTTTATTGTTACATTTTTCTAATGAATCTTTCACTGCAACAACTTATGCAGAGAAGTTATGTATCCTGGAATTATTCTACTTTTTGATAACCATTTTTAAAGCTTTATACTTTATAAAGCTTTTTTTATTCTCCCAATTCACTTAAGAATTTGCAATATCCACCTCGAGGTTAACCTGAAACTCAATTTCACAGCTAATTCCAACTAAACGTCTTCTCCAGCTTTCCAGATGCCATCTAACCAGTTATATTCTCACTGATTCAGCAGCATATTCAAAGAGACAGAGAAGAACTGACATGATGCTGATGAAGCTTAAACTTCAGGGTCCCTGTTGCATGGGCCCTCAGAGTGCCAAGAGTCCTTGGGAGTCCGTGTTCTAGCTGAGAGGAAACATGAAGAGGCATTTCTCTGTAAGCATTTGTGGCAAAGAGATCTTGAAAGAAAGGGAACCGGCCGGGCGTGGTGGCTCACGCCTGTAACCCCAGAACTTTGGGAGGCCGAGGCGGGCAGATCACGAGGTAAGGAGATCGAGACCATCCTGGCTAACACGGTGAAACCCCGTCTCTACTAAAAATACAAAATAAATTAGCCAGGCATGGCGGCGGGCGCCTGTAGTCCCAGCTACTTGGGAGGCTGAGGCAGGAGAATGGTGTGAACCTGGGAGGCGGAGCTTGCAGTGAGCCGAGATTGCACCCCTGCACTTCAGCCTGGGCGACAGAGTAAGACTCCATCTCAAAAAAAAAAAAAAGAAAAAGAAAGAGAACCAAATCATTTCACTGAATCATTTTGAAATAAATACTCACCTTTGCATCTAATTTTGTATTCATAATCTTTTCCTCTTTTTCTTAAAGAGGACCTCCCAAATTGTATGAGCTTCCAACTCCACTAAACCTGAGTCTGCCTGATACAAGGGAAGGCATGTAAAAATACTTCTTAGTTTATACTCTCCACTGCGCAAGTTTTCAATCTATAAAAAAACTCCTGATCTTTAAAAATAAAAAATAAAGGTTGGGGAGAGGGTAGTAAAAAGTTACTTTAAATGTATATTTTTAAGAATGCTGATTTCATTATGTATTTTCCAATACCAAAATATAAAATAAAATAGAACCTGCAGAACTTTTGGCTCTCTGACATTTCTCCCCAGTGACTTAAAACTTTCAGATGAATGGGACATCTGGGTTCTGAGAAGAATGGTGTATTATTACTGCTCTCCACAATAGCAGGCCTAAATGGATTTTTCATGTTTAGACTAGTAAACATAAAAAGCAAACCTATCTCACATGACTGATACGTTTGCCTTTAACAAAACAACCCCGGCCAAAAATTATTAGAAAACAGATCAGCAGCCCCACTGGACTCTGAAGCAATGTAATTAGGTAGTCCAACACTACATTTTGTCAAAAAATTCTGACAACCTAATAACCAGATTGTCATCAGATAGACATTAAAAAATGATACCAGGTTTGCTCCAGCATTAAAATACCACCACTTTCTGGGTTTTTTTTCCTTCTGTAAAAATAAAAATTAAAAATCTATCAGTGATGCATCCCATTGGTCTGGATGGTGTTTAAATGAGTCTGTGCCACTTGAAGGATGGCAAAGGAAGTTTTGTTTTGATTTAAAGTTTAAGAAAGAATTCTTCTTAGGACCACCTGCTTAACGTTAATCACGAAATCCCTATGTGTTAAGAGGGGTAATTATAAAATGGAATGATAATAACAATAGTAACCGGCAGTTATTGAGTGTTTAGATTGTGCCAGGCACTGGGTTTCATTCTGTTGAATGAAACCATTACTGGACTCCCAACAACCTTGATGAGAGGTGCTACTCTCACCCTCATTTTCAGAGGTGGAAGGGAGGCTTATCAAGGCTAAAGAATCCACTTGCACACCCAACAGAGGCCACCTCATGCTCTTAACCTCTGCAATGTGTTGCTGAGAAGGTGGTTAGTTTGGATTTGACAGGGTGAGGTGGTGGGCATTGGGGATAAGAGGTGTTATTTTCAAGAAAACCATTACGTATGTGGCCTTCCAGAATATAGTAATCTAGTATGTAGTCTGGCCTGTAAGCCAAATTTTATGTATAGTGTGACACTGAAGAAAAAAACGTTGTAATTATAGGTTAATTCACACAGTTAATGCAATTAAATAGAAAAAGGTAGAAACCTTAAGATATAGCCTTAGGTTCAAATATACTCTAGCCTCCATTTAATTAGTCAATTATAAAAAATTGTCCACTAACCTGTACAAGAATAAACCTCAGGGAGTACATTTCTAAGATGACCTTTGGAACCCTAGTATCTGAAAATCTTACCATTTTATCTATTAGGATATAAATGAGTTATCTGGTATAAATCACTGTCAAATTTGCACAAACAAATGGTGTGGCTGACAGTCAGTAATAATTCAATGACACCAATTTTTTCCCCAACATGAAAACACCCCAGATTACTCAGTCAGCCATGCCATGGCTAGATTTGCAAGGCACTATAAAGTTTCCAAAGTATTTGTCCACCACGTGATTTTGTTTGACATCCACAAGCCTACATTATTTCTTTTTCTTTTTCTTTTTTTTTTTTTTTTTTTTGAGACAGAGTCTCACTCTGTTGCCCAGGATGGAATGCAGCAGTGCGATCTTGGCTCACTGCAGCCTCTGCCTCCTTGTTCAAGCAATTCTCCTGTCTCAGCCTCCCAAGTAGCTGGGACTACACACATGTGCCACCATGCCTGGCTAATTTTTGTATTTTTAGTAGAGACGGGGTTTCACCATGTTGGCCAGAATGGTCTTGATCCCCTAACCTCGTTATCTGCCCACCTCGGCCTCCCGAAGTGCTGGGATTACAGGCATGAGCCACCATGCCCAGCCAAGCCTACATTATTTCTTAAACACAAAAAGATCATTCCGAATTTCACAAACAATGTTGAGCAAAATATGCCACACACAAAGAAGCCCATACCGTATGATTCTATT
Organism: Homo sapiens; assembly: GCF_000001405.40. Taxonomy (NCBI): domain Eukaryota; kingdom Metazoa; phylum Chordata; class Mammalia; order Primates; family Hominidae; genus Homo; species Homo sapiens. The sequence continues at coordinate 61,179,413 of NC_000003.12, forward strand.
TATTATATAAAATTAGTCCAGGCACAGTGACCCACATCTGTAATCCCAACACTTTGGTGGCTAAGGTGAGAGGATTGCTCGAGGGCAGGGGTTCAAGACCAGCCTGGGCAACAATAATGAGACTCTGTCTCTTATAAAAAACTAAATTAACCAGGTGTGGTGGTGCATACCTGTGGCCCTAGCTACTTGGGAGGCTAAGACGGGAGGATCACCTGAGCCCAGGAAGTCAAGGCTGCTGTGAGCTATAATTGTGCCACTGCACTCCAGTCTGGGTGACAGAGCAAGACCCTATCTCAAAAAAAAAAAAAAAAAAAAAAAAAACCACCCAAAAACACACACAAATTCAAAAACATGGTAAAACCAATCGCAGATGAGTCAAGATAGTGACAGCCTCAGTGGAAGCAAGCATGGTAGTGAGTGGAAGATGGCATCAGAGTGTCATGTTCTACCTCTTATTCTAGATGCTGGTTCCTTAGGCATGATGACTTTGGGAAAATTCATCAAGATGTACAACTTGGATTTACAAGTATACAAATCCTATAGCATGTTATGCTTCTACAGAAAATTGACATAAAACAACCATTCTCTCCCTTTCAGTTTGCTAACTAGACCAAGAAGAAAAGATACACTGAGAAAGAGGGTGGGCACTCTGAAAACACTGAGAAGTTTGACTTTACAAACTATTGAGCTACTGACAGTCTTGTTAAAACCTCTTAGCGTGCCTTTCCCTCACGGCATCAATTTATATAGCAATTCACTACATTAATTCTTGTAATGAAAGTGTGAGGAGATCTGTAGTCAATCATAATTGTGCCCTGCAAATTCCAGAAAATGTTTGCTGGGATGTAAGCCTCTGATGGCTGGCTCAGCAAGTGATTTAGAGCAATGTGGTGAACTTTCATAATAACAGCTCATTAACAATTGCGTTTAAAATGTAAACAATTGATATGTTTTTAGAAACACCAGTACTGATTAGGTTTATTTCACTTTACAGGAAGTCAGAAGATAATATGCTAAGCAGATTTTCCTTTCTTCCCTCTCAACGATAAATTCAATAATAGTTAGGTTAGACCTAGTTTTGTTTTCAGTTTCCATGAATGAGAAATGTGAAGACCATGGGGGTTCCAACTCAGTCTCTCTTCTCCAGTTTTGTGTTTAGGAAGCACAGACTTGAAATGTATTTTGCATGTCTTCCAAGACTAAATACCGAGGTTATGTTTGTGCAGCTGTCTGAATAAAACTGATGCTACCTCAAAAAATAAGTTGATTCAGTCACAAAAAAGTACCAAGCAAAGTATTAATTGATTTAATTGCCCTGCTTTTATTTAAAGCTAGACAAGAACTATGGGGGAGGGACCTTATCAATGATGTTAACAGATATATATGTATATGCCCAGCACCTAGCCAAATTATAGAAAGAGCATGGGAACTGCTTAATGATTTGCTTTACCAGTCAATCTTTATGTGGAGTGGGGCATAGTTAATGATAGTAATCATTTTAGGCCTGAGTTCCTTTAAATTATCAATTTAATATTTTTATTAAATATATGCATTTCAAGTACATTTATCTCCGTTGCTTTTTCGACTAAAAAATAAAGACAAGGAATTCAAATGTTTGGATTATTTTCCCTCACTCATACCAAATACAAGGAAAGTAAACATAATGAAGTTAAAGTAATATTCTTAGCTTGACAAATCACATATTGGGGACATGAGAAGCCTAAATTATCTGAAGTCAATTAATTGTTCTTTGTCAACGGAAAGAAGAATTTAGCTCCCAAACTGGATAAAATCCCAGCCAAGTAATGACCAATAATGGCAATAATAGTAACATTATATTTTTCCTGTCTCTTGATTATCAACAATCAAGAGGCTATAGCAAATAAATATACAAATATATACTGTGAAAACATCAATATTTGTATCTACAAGAAGGATGAAAAATTAACTTTGTGTAGTAATATCCCTCCACTGTATTTAGGAAAAGACAATACAACAGACCTCTAAGAATGGGTGTTCCTTCTGGTACTTGAAGGAAGCACACAAACAAATATATTATGGAACTGGTGGGGAAAAAAACAGTCATCCAGAATCACAGGGCTGAAGAGAGCCCAGGATGTCACCTGGCCTGTCATGTCCAGAATACTAACAAGTTTCATTTAATTCCAGCATCACAGGCTGCTCTGATATTCCCTGGGTTCCCTCTCCTGGCTCTGCCTAAAGACAGACCCAAAGACCAAAAAAATCTACCATGTAGTCCAAGTCGTCTAATGCTAGCAAGCCCCTGAATCTTGCCACATAGGGCCCACTTATAATTGCAGTAACATGTCTCTTTCCTAGCCTAATTACTATTCTTGGAGAAAAATCTCTCTTTGTTTTGACAATTTTTCCTATCCCTTAGAAAAAATGGTTCAGGAATAGATTCTAGTATTATTTTTCATACATGAAATAAATATTCTATTTATTCTATTACATTTCTGTTCTATAAGTGTATGGTTAGATGACTGTTACTATTCTTTCTGGCTACTGGACATACCAAGTCTGGTTTAAATACTCTAACCAGAATTAGTCCATGCCAACATAAGCATTTAATGAGAAAGGATCCTGGGGCTACATGCTCCATAGTCATGTGAAATCGGATACTCTGAAGGGGAAATAACTTTCTCTGAAGTGTAACCATTAACTGAAAGAGAAAGCTTGGTGTGGTATGAGTCATGGGTAACATGGGTGAATCACAGTCCTGATGGGCAGGTGGCCATCTCTGAAGAGGATTTCAGAAATGCTCTCCCCACCTTGATCAATTAAATTCTCTTATTAGGATAGAAAACATTGTATTCCACGGTTAAAGTATGAAATGCCTACATAACCAGATAAAATGACACAACTGTTCCAAAAGTTCAGTTATTTACATACTCCTTTCATGATTTGTATAATATCTATGAGCCAGTGTTCTATATTAATACAACATTTCTCTTTAAATCAACTCAATTCTGCCAGTCTAAATTACCTTTTTGAAGAAGACAATTTTATATCCCCACTGTAAATATCCAATGTCACTGGTATACATATTGTATATAGCCAATATCACTTGCCATAAATAGAAGGAAACTGAAAAGATTTCATGTGACTAACCAAAAATGTATTCATTCATCTCATCTCATGTACCACATGGAATACTGTAACAAACTGGTTTAAATTCATACTAGAGAGTAAATGAATGATAGAATTCTCAACACCCCTCCATCCTGTCCTATTAATGAGATTAAAGGTTGAGGGACCACCAAAAGAGGTAGGCAGGGCCCTGAGAACCTGAAGGAGCATGTATTCAGGATAGGGGGTATGGGGGGTGGGGTTGGATGTCACAAGCTATGAGAAGTAAGGGTACAAAAGAGCAGACAGTAGCCCACTTCATGATTATTTATATCTGGGGCTGTCCCTGAATGTGTCATAGAGGAAGTCCTCTGTACTGTTTGATTTGAAGGCCCTTCTACTTCTATGCACCATCTCTTTTAGACATCCACATCTGAGCTCACAAATTATCCATCACAAAGAAATCACATGCTGTTAATAGGTCTCTTCATTGTGGCTGACAGTGCAAAACAAATGCCAGTCCCTGTGCTGAGATACAGATTTCTGGAATACTAACTGGGATTCCCAATGTGGGGAGACACAGTAGTAGAGGTCACTCCAAGGACTCCTGGAACATGCTCCTGAATTCTGTTGCTTCTTGCCATACTTGCCACAGAGTGCCGTTATGTTCTAGCTCTCTCTGGGTATCCTTCTCTCCAATCAGATTCTCAATTCTCTCATCATCTTTCTATTGCTCTTAATACCTAGCTCTCAGCAAAACAAGTGCCCAATTTATAGAAAAAGCGAGTAAGTGACTCTGAATGAATCAACCACAAGTGAATGAATGAATGAAAACAGATCAGCTTTGCAGAAAGAAGCACCTGCTTACCTAAGGTATATCCCCAAATTATCCCAACCTCATCTAAAGTTATCAGGGAACACAGCACAAATTCATTAGCATCCTGCTGCCTTTTCAGAGAAATGACAGGTTCTTCTCCCCTTGCCTGATCAAAAGATTTGCTGCACTCTCTCTCTTAAAATGCCTCCTTGTTACAAACTGTGCAATCTTGGTCAACTTACCTAACCTCTCTGAACATCTGTTCCCTTACTTGTTAAATATTGAAGAACAATATCTGCCCCATGAATTGTGATAAAGATTAAATGAGAGATTTCAAGAAAAGTGACTGTAGTATATCAAAAGCCAAAAAGCCAGCTACATTTTTGGACCAGATCACAATGCCATGATAAATATCAATGGAATAATGGTCCACAATGTCACACCACATGCTTTCATTCTGCTGTCCTCATGACTTCCCTGTTTGCCAGCATCAGGGTTTTTCACGTTTACAAAGAAAATGGAGCAGGTTAGCAGGTCTCGGTGGCATTAATGGGCAAAGCATCATGGGCAACTGTTGTTCATAAATGCTCCTTCTCAAATGTATCCTGGGTTGGTGATGACCACAATTCATTTCCATTTTGAAGCGCCCTCCATTTTTTACTTCTTTCTCAGTCTGAATCTCCTATACTTGTAATACTGACGGAGCTTCGCTAGTTTCTAAATCAGAAAGATGAGCACGTGCAGCCACAGGAAGAGAAATCTGGGACCTGATGCCTATAATATTTTTCAGACAGAGAATATTCCCCCAGTGTCTCTACCCAGGAGATAGTAAACTACTCTGACATTTCAGCTGTTGCCCCTCCAAGCAGATTCACACACCTCTCGGCTAACATCCCCTTTGGGCAGGCATCTACTCATGTTTACAGTTATTCATTATGACTGGCTATACACAGACAGTGCCTCTGGTGTCAAACTGAATGGCCCCTTAGACCCCCATTCCAAGACAGCCAGAGGATACAGACATATATTAAATAAGACACAGGCAGGAAAACTGCACTGACTTCCTTGAGATGGGGAGGCTGAAGCCAACCAAAGCTGACCTGCTAGAGAGTCCTCCAGAGCTCCAGTGTGGGATGACTCACAGCAAGGAGCACGGGATCAAAATTTTTGAGGTGCTTCAGGGTCAGAAAGTTTTCCAGAACAGCTTCTGCGGATGTCTGTGAACAAATATGCCAGCAAGGAAAAAGACCAACTATTTTGCAGGGGAATCATCTTGAACCAGAAGGGCCAGCATGCATTCTAAGTGCCAGGGCAAGTTCCCAACCCTCTGAGCTAGCTCACATCTATTGTGATTCCACACATCTCTCCATGGAATAATCTGTCCAAGAACACACAAGCAGAGAAGTGCCCTTCTCCATCTACAAGCATCTAAATGTAGAGTCATGAGAGAAGGTGAGAGGCAGTGACTTCAAGAGGTGGCCTCTAGACCTCAGAATCCACTCTAATGAACACGCTGTGTTTAAACAAGGGATCTCACATTTTCTCAAAAGGCAGTTAGACACATTCACATACTTAGGAGTGAATCTAAGAACTCTAGAAAGAACGGCACATTTCCCTACTGACACAGTTGTATTGAAAAATCAATCTGTGGCTCTAAGGGAAATGAGAAAACACAACTGGTGATTTCTAGCACGGCATCCAATCTTCACTTTTGTGATCCCTCAATTCTCAGTTCAAGTATAAATAGACTTTTTCCCCCCCACGAAGTAGGAAAAGGATTAAGTAGGCAGGACATTTTCTAAGTTCTGTGTAGCATATGTTCATAAGCTTTCCTTTTGTAGCATTTATGGATTCATTCTGGAGTAGGGTTAAGCCGGAGCAAAGCAATTTGGCATGCTTGCAATTTGCTTTATCAGGAGAAGCAAGCACAGACTGCAGAGGCCACCTCGACCTGAGCAGCAAAGAAGCTTCCCAGAACCCTGAGGGAGACACTGATTATTTTCCTTACAGGGATGCTCAAGCTGAGCCAACCTCCTTGCAAAATAGTCAATGAGCTTCATTCAGATTATCCTCAGGAAAGCAGTGGCCAAGCAGACACAAGTGATCATCATCATACGAACTTAATTTCTGACCAAATTCCACAATCACACTGCTCTTCCTGAAGTCAGTCAGGCAGTATCTATACTGCTACACAAACCTCAGGGTCAGCATTCCAATCCATCCCAGCCTAAGGATCCCATTCAGCAGCAGAGGTGCTTTTCAAATCTGTACATCCACTTCGGTACTTTCTATCCACATGAGAGAACACACTGCAGCAGGAGATGAGGATGCAGTAGGATAATTCTTAATGTTCACAATATAATGTTGAATGGAAAAAGCAGTATGTGCCATTTTCTTAAAATACATGCCCACATAAAGAACTAACTGGGAAAAAAACACCCAGAAATGTCACTTGGAGTCATCTCTGGGCTGTAGGATTATACACAATTTCTATTTTCTTCTCTTAGCTGAACTGGTTTCCAAATATTCTAAAATGCAAATGCATTACTTTTATAATAGTAATAAAGTAATTCTAAAGTGATTTAAATATATAGACTGTGATTCTCAAAATGCAGGAGTTAAAGAAAAAAATAAAGACATAGACTGAACCTTACAAAAAAGATTTTTATCCACAAAACAAAGAAGCATTTTCATTAAAACAATATAATTAACCTGCACCATTAGGAAAGAACTACATCATATTTCACATTCAATTTTGTTATTATCACCATCACTACTTCTTAAGCATCTGCTGTACACAATGCCCTGTAGCGGGTATAAGTACTCAAAAATAAACCAGGTGGTAACTAAGTTATTTACATCACTGGGACTCTTCCAGTGTTATTAAAGTTGAAGAACTTGAAAAGCAGCATTTATTAATAACAGGGGCATTAATCCAGCTGCCTGCCCTGTACTCCACTTACCCAGAGAGTCTCTCCCAGTCCTGCCAAGCAAGATTAAGTAGAATTAAGACGGCAGCTAACCAGGTAGACCTTGTGCCCTGGGCCACAGGTGACTCTGGCAAGGGTGGGCGCCTGACCTACATCAAACCATTCAGATTCTTTCCCCCAGGAAGGAGGAATACAGTTAGTCTCTATCATCCCCTTGAATGAGGCACAGGGAGTTGCACGGGTAGCCATAGCTGGCTGGATATGCAAAGAAGCCAGTCTGCAGACAGAAGAGGTGAGAGGCTATGAGGATCCTGAGACAGTCTCCTGCTCTTTAGGATGGGATGCTGAGAGATATGTTTGTCCATTTACCCATCCCACTCTGGTTAGTTTTTGAGGGTCAACCACTTCCTGGCCTAAGGCTTCAGGAAGCTCACCATCTAACCTTTTGTCAAATGAGTAAGCTATCCTGTGGCCTTGTAGAAGCCTCACCTTTCATCGTTTTTGTCACTGTTTCTTTTGTATTGGTTCTTGAAAACAAATTATCTCTAAGACATAGTTGCAAGATTCAGAACTCTGAACTCTCTTCACCCACTCCTTACAAGCTGAATCCCTCCTCCTGTCCTTCTTTTCAGATCTTAACTTAAACGTCATTAACTCTGACCGCTCCAAATGAGGAGGCCTGCTATGTTTTGCCTCTTGATGTTTCCTAAATAAGATTTACATAACTTTTAATTGTATATGCTTTGTTGGTTTACTAGTTCTGATCTGTCTCCTTCCCTAGGGCATAAAATAATCTGCCCGACCCATGTTCCTTGTACCTCACACAGCACATTCCTAGCATATTACAGAAGATCAATAGTATTGAATGCATCAGTCAGTCATGTAGGTGAGTGCATATTCATTCACTCAATATACAAATAATGATTGAGCACTTGAAATCTGCAAGGCTTAGTCCTTTCTTGATAAGGAACTAAGGAACTAATGATTCAAAAAGGAGATTAGGTACATATGCAAAGACAAGAACATAGACACAGCAGACACTGCTGAGGGCCTGTCACACAGAAATTTCCCTCTTTGACAAAGAAGGCCATTACACCATGGTAAAGGGATGAATTCAACAAGAAGAGCTAACTATCCTAAATATATATGCACCCAATACAGGAGCACCCAGATTCATAAAGCAAGCCCTTAGAGACCTATAAAGAGATTTAGACTCCCACACAATAATAATGGGAGACTTTAAAAACCCACTGTCAACATCACACAGATCAACGAGACAGAAAGTTAACAAGGATATCCAGGAATTGAACTCAGCTCTGCAGCAAGCGGACCTAATAGACATCTACAGAACTCTCCATCCCAAATCAACAGAATATACATTCTTTTCAGAACCACACCACACCTATTCCAAAATTGACCACATAGTTGGAAGTAAAGCTCTCCTCAGCAAATGTAAAAGAACAGAAATTAGAAGAAACTGTCTCTCAGACCACAGTGCAATCAAACTAGAACTGAGGATTAAGAAACTCACTCAAAACCGCTCAATTACATGGAAACTGAACAACCTGCTCCTGAGTGACTACTGAGTACATCACGAAATGAAGGTAGAAATAAAGATGTTCTTTGAAACCAATGAGAACAAAGACACAACATACCAGAATCTCTGGGACACATTCAAAGCAGTGTGGAGAGGGAAATTTACAGCACTAAATGCCCATAAGACAAAGCAGAAAAGATCTAAAATTGACACCCTAACATCACAAATTAAAGAACTAGAGAAGCAAGAGCAAACACATTCAAAAGCTAGCAGAAGGCAAGCAATAACTAAGACCAGAGCAGAACTGAAGGAAATAGAGACACAAAAAACCCTTCGAAAAATTAATGAATCCAGGAGCTGGTTTTTTGAAAAGATCAACAAAATTGATAGACCGCTAGCAAGACTAATAAAGAAGAAAAGAGAGAAGAATCAAATAGATGCAGTAAAAAATGATAAAGGGGATATCACCACCGATCCCACGGAAATACAAACTACCATCAGAGAATACTATAAACACCTCTATGCAAATAAACTAGAAAATCTAGAAGAATTTGATAAATTCCCGGACACATACAACCTCCCAAGACTAAACCAGAAAGAAGTTGAATCTCTGAATAGACCAAAAACAGGCTCTGAAATTGAGGCAATAAGTAATAGCTTACCAACCAAAAAAAGTCCAGGACCAGAGGGATTCACAGCTGAATTCTACCAGAGGTACAAGGAGGAGCTAGTACCAGTCCTTCTGAAACTATTCCAATCAATAGAAAAAGAGGGAATCCTCCCTAACTCATTTTATGAGGCCAGCATCATCCTGATACCAAAGCTGGGCAGAGACACAACAAAAAAAGAGAATTTTAGACCAATATCCTTGATGAACATTGATGCAAAAATCCTCAATAAAATACTGGCAAACCGAATCCAGCAGCACATCAAAAAGCTTATCCACCATGATCAAGTGGGCTTCATCCCTGGGATACAAGGCTGGTTCAATACACTCAAATCAATAAATGTAATCCAGCATATAAACAGAACCAAAGACAAAAACCACATGATTATCTCAATAGATGCAGAAAAGGCCTTTGACAAAATTCAACAACCCTTCATGCTAAAAACTCTCAAAAAATGAGGTATTGATGGGACATATCTCAAAATAATAAGAGCTATCTATGACAAACCCACAGTCAATATCATACTGAATGGGCAAAAACTGGAAGCATTCCCTTTGAAAACTGGCACAAGACAGGGATGCCCTCTCTTACCACTCCTATTCAACACAGTGTTGGAATTTCTGGCCAGGGCGATCAGGCAGGAGAAGGAAATAAAGGGTATTGAATTAGGAAAAGAGGAAGTCAAACTGTCCCTGTTTGCCGATGACATGAATGTATATCTAGAAAATCCCAACGTCTCAGCCCAAAATCTCCTTAAGCTGATAGGTAACTTCGGCTAAGTCTCAGGATACAAAATCAACGTGCAAAAATCACAAGCATTCTTATACACCAATAACAGACAAACAGAGAGCCAAATCATGAGTGAACTCCCATTCACAATTGCTTCAAAGAGAATAAAATACCTAGGAATCCAACTTACAAGAGATGGGAAGGACCTCTTGAAGGAGAACTACAAACCACTGCTCAGTGAAATAAAAGAGGATACAAACAAATGGAAGAACATTCCATGCCCATGGGTAGGAAGAATCAATATGGTGAAAATGGCCATACTGCCCAAGGTAATTTGTAGATTCAATGCCATCCCCATCAAGCTACCAATGACTTTCTTCACAGAATTGGAATAAACTACTTTAAAGTTCATATGGAACCAAAAACGACCCCGCATCACCAAGTCAATCCTAAGCCAAAAGAACAAAGCTGGAGGCATCACGCTACCTGACTTCAAACTATACTACAAGGCTACAGTAACCAAAACAGCATGGTACTGGTACCAAAACAGAGACATAGATCAATGGAACAGAACAGAGCCCTCAGAAATAATGCCACATATCTACAACTATCTGATCTTTGACAAACCTGAGAAAAACAAGCAATGGGGAAAGGATTCCCTATTTAATAAATGGTGCTGGGAAAACTGGCTAGCCATATGTAGAAAGCTGAAACTGGATCCCTTCCTTACACCTTATACAAAAGTTAATTCAAGATGGATTAAAGACTTAAATGTTAGACCTAAAACCATAAAAACCCTAGAAGAAAACCTAGGCAATACCATTCAGGACATAGGCATGGGCAAGGACTTCATGTCTAAAACACCAAAAGCAATGGCAACAAAAGACAAAATTGACAAATGGGATCTAATTAAACTAAAGCACTTCTGCACAGCAAAAGAAACTACCATCAGAGTGAACAGGCAACCTACAGAATGGGAGAAAATTTTTGCAATCTACTCATCTGACAAAGGGCTAATATGCCAAATCTACAATGAACTCAAACAAATTTACAAGAAAAAAACAACCCCATCAACAAGTGGGTGAAGGATATGAACAGACACTTCTCAAAAGAAGACATTTATGCAGCCAAAAGACACATGAAAAAATGCTCATCATCACTGGCCATCAGAGACATGCAAATCAAAACCACAATGAGATACCATCTCACACCAGGTAGCATGGCGATCATTAAAAAGTCAGGAAACAACAGGTGCTAGAGAGGATGTGGAGAAATAGGAACACTGTTACACTGTTGGTGGGACTGTAAACTAGTTCAACCATTGTGGAAGTCAGTGTGGTGATTCCTCAGGGATCTAGAACTAGAATTACCATTTGACCCAGCCATCTCATTACTGGGTATATACTAAAAGGATTATAAATCATGCTGCTATAAAGACACATGCATACGTATGTTTATTGTGGCACTATTCACAATAGCAAAGACTTGGAACCGACCCAAATGCCCAACAATGATTGACTGGATTAAGAAAATGTGGCATATATACACCATGGAATACTATGCAGCCATAAAAAATGATGAGTTCATGTCCTTTGTAGGGACATGGATGAAGCTGGAAACCATCATTCTCAGCAAACTATCACAAGGACAAAACACCAAACACCGCATGTTCTCATTCATAGCTGGGAATTGAACAATGAGAACACATGGACACAGGAAGGGGAACATCACCCACTGGGGCTTGTTGTGGGGTGGGGGGAGGGAAGAGGGATAGCATTAGGAGATACACCTAATGCTAAATGACGAGTTAATGGGGGCAGCACACCAACATGGCACATGTATACATATGTAACAAACCTGCACATTGCGTACATGTACCCTAAAACTTAAAGTATAATAAAAAAAAAATAAAATAAAAAAAGAAATTTTCCTGTTTCACCTCACAGGTAAAGCCCTGTGCTGGTTAATTTTCTGTGTCAACTCAACTGGGCCATGGGGTGCCCAAACTAAATATTATTTCTGGATGTGTCTGTGAGGGTGTTTCTGGGTGAGATTAGCATTTAAACAGAAGGCCATCACCCAGTTTGTTGAACAGAAGAAAAGGAGGAGAATGGAGAAATTTGCCCTGTTTCTGCTTCACTGTGTGAGCTGGGATACATGATCTCATCTTTGCCGGCCCTCAGACTGGGATTATGCCATTGGCTCCCTTGGTTCTCAGGCCTTAGGACTTGGACTGAATTACACCACCGGCTTTCCTGGGTCTCCAGCTTGCAGACAGCACATCATGGAACTTCTCAGCTTCCAGAATCACATAAGCCAATACCTCACAATAAGTAAATAAACCAATAAATAACCTTTTGGTTCTGTTTCTCTGAAGAATCCTGACTAGTATAAGCCCCAGTTTTATTAGGGTGGCCTCCCTCCATAAAGCTATGTACTCAAGGGAAGGTGAGATTATCCCAGAAAAGAGATAAAACCCGATTAGTTTAAAACAGGGAAAGGGTTAACAGCTGCTCTGATATCCCTTTAGCTCCAAGGGCAGCTGGGCAGACCCAGAGCAGCCAGAGACCCCACACCCATGCCCTACACACACACATCAGCCACTCCAGCTGTGAGCAGCCTCTTCTGATTGCTTAACATGCCGGCCAAATTGTATTTTCTATGTGCACCATAACAAGAACAAAGTTGGGAAGCACCAATCTAAGCCACCAGGGATGAGCCCCATTCCGCGTGCCAGTGTCTGATTTAGGAAGGAGCATGGGACTGCAATCAACTAAATGAGACTTAAGGGGAAGTCAGCTCAGGGGTTACAGGAACAGTTCCTTGCTTTTAAAAAGGGACATATAAGAACAGATATTTTATTTTGCCAGTGGATGTTGCCATGTCTGCCTGTAGCTCCCAAAAAGGAACCAGCCATCTTAGAACTATGAAGGCAGCCAGTCTAAGAACTAAGTCAACACACTGAAGATGGCACAGGAAAAAGAGCAAGAAATAGACACTTTGGTAACAATGTTGAGCCACTGAATTAACAAAACTTGAAACTGCACCCCTCCCAGGAGGTCTTATTCCCTGAGATAATTCATTTCTCTTATTCTGATGGGTTTTTATTTGGTGGATTTTCAAATGTAACTTGGTAGAGCAATTCACAAAATAATTGACAGTGCTTAGCAATCTGTCAATAGCTGAGTGCTCAAAATCCTCTCCCTGCTACACAGTGACAACCATCAAAGGCACCCTGGTGGGTCCCCAGTTGCTTGGCAAAAGTGGATTGCAGTTAGATTCCAGACATTTGGAGCCAGGATTCTATAATGCCTTCCCATCAATCATGACATCCCTGGGGCAGCAGGTAGACTTGCAGAGGGCAGGGAGCTTTTTTCTTTTAATTCCCCTATTGTTTGAACCATTTCAAGTTGACTTTTTGATTATTTGCAGCCAAAGGCATCTTCGGTGATAAATCCATCTTCACATAATTAGCAGCAAATTTATGTGGCCTCCTTTGAGCAAAGACTCAGGAGAAAATGATGCAGAGATTCATAATTCCACCCACATTCCCCAAAATCTTTAGATGATGGGTCTTCAGTGAATTCTCTCTACAAAAAAAAAGACAACTGAGATGCCAGAAAAAGGATTAATCATGTGATCATCTGACACTTATCATGGGAGTCATAAAGTACCACACAAATGGTGAGGCATCACCTTGTCTCAGTGTTGAATTAGGGGCAGCATAATTTTAAAATATCAATTTGTACTCTTTGTTATCCCTCCTGTGTATACTGTTCCCTTTCGCATCTCAAAAACTTCAAGACTTTGCCTTCTTCCCTTTGTCTCCCAGACATATTCAAACGCAAAAGATGCTAAAAGACAACCACCAATCCCCTAAATCCAGTCTCCATTAAAGACTTTTCTTTTTCAAAAAAGCCTAAATTCATTGAAGGGAATGTGTTACATCCCAGCAGAAAGGTCCAAAATAAAGACAATTTGGGTTGTTTTGTTTTGCTTAAAAGTGTTGTTCTTTGATCTGTTTAGGTGGGCACTTGGAGTACAGTAAGGATTGGGCTTTCCTGGTATTGGAGAGAAGCTGGAGCAGTTCCTTAAAGTAGTGGACGCTGGCACCCTGCTTCCTGGCAGAACTCTAGAGAGGTGACAGGACTTTTGATCGGGATAGTGATGGGATACTGGGAAAATGACTACCAAGGCCTTGAAGCCACAGCGAAAATCCCAGCCTTCTTTGCACAGATACAACAGGACTACCCAACAATGCATGGACAAGAAGCCTCTCATGGTGACCAGAGTGGACTAAAGTTCAGGGGGCCTTTTTAAAAATGTTTTATGCTATAACAGACCTGCAGCATTTTTGCATCAATGACCTTAAGTGAGCAGACACTCCAAACACCACTTAGAACTTCCCAACATTTAGAGAAAAAAAAAGTAACCAGTTATGCATGTATGCATGCTTGCAATTCATGCAGCATTCAAAACAATTTTTCAGAATGAAATCTTTAAATCAGAGTGCACACTCAGTTTGTATTTTTAGTTGATTTGACACATCATGAGCAACCACAGGATTCCACAATACCAGGCCAAGTTCCCACTGTAGGGATGGAAAGGTGTGATACCTTTCCTCACCTCTCACAAGAGTCACAGCCAACATTCCTATAACAAAAGACAGGTCAGCAAGAGAAAAGCATAACAAATGTATTTAATCAAAGTTTTATGTGACATAGCAGCCTTCCGAAATGAAGACCCAAAGACTAAAGGAAAATAGTTTTTATGCTTAGGTTCAGTGAAGAATGCACAGCTGTGTAGAAATGTGGTAGAACAAAAGGGGTGTGTTCTACTGGAAATAGAAAATAGATTGGCGGTGGTGGGGGTGGTGGTGGGGATCAGCAAGGCCTGACTATTCAGATTCTTATTGGCCTCTCTGTGTAACGTTCTTTCTTCCCAGTATGGAGCAGGGCCTCTATGGAATGAGGATCTTCAAAGGAGAAGGAAGAGAGTGACTTTTCTAGGTTTAATGGCTTGCTGTGGGGAAGAGACATTCTAGTTTCTATGACCCACCTTAGGGAAGAGGAATTCTGGTTTATACGACTTGCTTAAGGGGAGGAAGAGAAGTAGGAGACAGTATTATGGGAGACTGCCACAAAGACCTTGGTTCTGAGGGCTTTCCAATGTATTTCCTTCAGTTCAAAGTACTCAGGATGCTAAGGTACCATACTTTGGGGGATTGGGTTCTAAGACCCGACACCACTAGTTATTTAATATTTTCCTTCCTGCAAATCCTGCTACCTTAAAAAAAAGGAAAACTAACTGTACAACAGGTAGTTCTGTAGCTAATGAGCATTATTAAATATTTTCAAAACATTCCAATAAAAGGCAATACCAAACGGCTTTTATCCTAATACTTTCTAAATAACGCCACATTCATTTATGAGGAATTGCATTTCCCTCAATGTTCTGGGCATTAATGAAGATTGAATATAAATAAAAGAATTGCCTTATATGTATAGCACTTTAAAGAGTTGAGATTCCCAAATAATACAAAAGCATTTTCAAGTCACACATGGTATGTAAAGTGAAAATGTTCTTGAAGGAAATATCCTCTAATAATACTTACCTACTTCAGAGGGTGATGGGAAGCTCTATTAACACCAAAAGAACACTTTTAGATCTTCAAATAAAAGCACTATACAAATGCAAAGTATTATTATTATAGTTCTGAAATAATTTCACACCTAGGGATGAGAAAACCCCAGGCCAAATTTTATTGCTTCTCTCATACGTGATAAACAAGAAATGCCATAAGCAAGGGGCGAGGGGGGTGGTTAGTGGGGGGTGTGATAGTGGGGGAAGTGGAAATCAAACAGAACAAAGACTTCAAAGTTTCTCTTTCACTAGGACTTTGTATTTGCCCAGATGTCATTTAGGGAACTCTCAGGGAAGAAAGAAAAAAAAAAGTCCCTTAAAGGTCAGAGTTAAGTACAGGGACAAAGTTCTCATTGCTTTTGTACCAGATAAAGCAACAACCGGCTGAGCTGAAAAAAAATAAGCTTGTCTACTTCTATGGGACATAATTTCTCCCAAAGCACTTCTCAAAAAAAAAGAAAAAAAAATGGCCAGATGAATTATTACTGAATCACCCACTAGTGTGATGATCTCACCTATGAAGTCAAAAGGTAGCTGCTTTAACAGACACCAGGATTTCTAGTCAATTACTGAGAGCACTGAGCAAGACATGTTATTGCTGATGGTAGTGGTGGTGATGATGATGAAGATGATAATGATGTTGATGATCATGATTGTGATGATGGTAATTACGGTAATGATAGGATATGGAACAGAAGTTCTCAAACCTGCTGATCAATGGAATCACCCCTAGAGCTTTTTACAATACAGATTTTTGGTTCTCCACCTCAGCCCCACTGATTTTGAATCTCTGAAGATAGAACTCAGAAATTTTTTTTAAGTAGCCATCAGGATAACTGAAGTGACAGTATTTGTAAGTAATATAATGATTAAGAATGCAGGCTCTGTGAACAGACTGGCTGGTGTCTTCTCCCAGTTCTAACACTTACTAGCTATGTGACCTTGGAAAAAATACTTAGCCTTAAGTCTCAATTTCTACAACTATAAAATGGAAATACTAATATGACCCACCTATGAAATTGACATGCTATTACTACCTACCTTATAAGGTAGATGCCTAAAGTAGGCAAATTTTTTTAAAAGCACATATTAATTCCAAGAAAGACAAAAAATTTTATATTAAAGAAAACATAACAAATACCATTCGGCTTAGCAACAGAAAAAAATTACGTAATCATGATAATGTAAATATTACCTGTTGATTTAAATAAAAATTGTAATATAACTATGTCAGGAGGCTGTGGGGACCAGAAGTGGTAAGAGTGGAAAGGATCAGAGAGCTATTGCTAAAATTGATAAATTAGGAAAAAATAATATAAGTACATTATTTAGAAAGAGAGAGGTGAACACCAGAAATATCAGAATAGAAAGTTGCTAATTCTGGGAAGCAATCCAGAGAGAGGTAGAAAGAAGGCATAGATGTTGCAGTTTTTAAATATTTGCTATTTAATGCTGTTTTATTTAAACAATGTAGATACACTGCTTTGATAAAAATAAAAATAAAATGTAAAAGGTAATTTGTAATGCATATAAGTACAATATGGTATTTCTTTATACACTGAGGCTACTATAAAGCTTTTCAATTTACCAAAACTTGCTTTTAAAAAAAAAAGATATAATATCTCCAACTATGCAATCAAAATGTCCATTTCTTAAAAGTGTACAATAAAGACTTACTTTTTACCTGGCACACTCTAAATCCTAAAAAGATATTTGCTGAATTGGGCTGAGGATGGTGGAAAAATATATAAAGAACAAAGTTCCTTTGTACAATCAAGGTCACAGCAGGAAGGAGATGACATCTTCACCTGGGGTGAAGGCAGGGTTAAGGGAAGACCACTAAGGGATGGTCTAGTGTGCTGGACTTAGCAAAAATTCCATTAACACTCCAGACTCAAAGGGGAAAAGGGAAGAGGCAGTTACCAGACAGTAGAAAAAGCTGTAGCCGCTGAAGAGAGGCCCCCAACCGGAACTGTGGCCTTCCTTAGAGGGATACAGCCATTGCCAACCCACAATGCTGCAGGGAAGAAAGTAGGGAAGAATATTTCAACCTCGTGTTCCCAGGTCTTCATCCAGTTCCTTCCCCTGGCTAATACAACAGAAAGCCAGCAAACAAGGGAGCCCAGAGAATGCCTGCGATAGAGGTTAGGCCCATGGTGCAGAGCCATTTAGAAGAGAGAGGAGCTGGAAGCACAAATGTGAATACCCAGCACAAGCACTATACAAGGTGGTTGTTGCTGTTGTCGTTGTTGTTGTTGTTTAATCTGTCTCTTTTTCCTACTCAGCCTCCTAAAACAAGCCCCTCAAATTTTCATCTGTTTAAGAAATATTCATGGCATGATAGTAATAAACTGATGTTATGCATTTGTTAAAATTTACTAAGCACTTTCATATATATTGTCTTCATGTGATCCTCAAAACAGCCCTGTGCAATAAATAGGGCAAAAGTTATCCTCATTTTACAGGTGAGGAACCTCAGATCTTAAAGAAAGTTAGGAATCTTGCACAGAGTCACAAAGCTAGCAAATGGCAGAGCCAAAACTAGAAGGAATGTTTCCTAATACCCCAGCTAAGGCTCTTCCTTCCATATAATACTGTCATGCTATTTATTCACAGTAGGAGTGCAAAATTGATATACCTGTTAAAAAAAAATTAACAAGTTTTGTTCTAGGCACTGCACAGAGCACAGAAGTAGTCAACAAATAAGACACAAGGGGAAATAGAGAAAACTTGCCCATTCCATTCTCATTCTACATTCCACAAGCAATGCCAGAACTGGAAGTAATTGAGTTTTCAATCACATTTTACACATCATTGAAAAGAAGGTGCTCAGTAGGGTAAGAACAGTGTTCAAATGAGAAATAAAAATTCAGGGAAAAGTAGACAAATGTCTAAAGAATATACCTGTTGTGTTTGGGGTTGCTGGGGGTAAACCGAAGAAAATCTCAGTCCCTTAACAATCCCCATGACACAAAGAGACCAGGGCCCCAGAAATTGGGAGGGATGACTTCTCCGCTTCTCTTCTCATTTCCAGCTCTACGCCCACATACATACACCTTCTTTGAGAGCTAAGAGAAGCAGCCAAGAGTGACTTTTCTGTACCAAACACAGGAGTACTGGGAAGTTCAGCAAAATAACCCATTTTTGAGAGTCTAATAAAGAACTCTGTACTTTTTGTAATCTACTGCAAAACACTGAGCTACTTACACATGATGAAAGAAAGTAATGAGTGGCATTTTAATTGTAAACCTCCAAACATACCATATTTATTCCAGATCTAGCTCACTAATGAATAGACTATACTATCAATGAGGGTTCTGTAGTTGCAAGCAGAAGAAACAAATTGGCTAATTTAAGAATTATTGGAAGGATACTGGAGTCTCAGCCAATCCATGGCAGAATGGAAAATAAGGTTTGGAGGCCATGACTACTAGCCAAGACAGACATGGAGGCAACAGTGGTCTCATAGTACATGTTGGCAGATCAGAATGCCCACCTAGGACAAGGGAGAATCCTTTAGCTAAAGAATCAAATTCCAAAGAAGGAGCATTTACTTAGCCAAGCTTGTGGTCATACACCCATCCATAGGCAGGGTGCAGGCCCCTGAGTAGGGCCCCTGGTTACAGTTCCACTAGCCTAATTACCTCAAAAAGAAATAAAGATGCTGTTAGGAAGGAAAAACATACACGACAGAAAAAAAAAATTGGTGGGGGGGTTCCCTCTATACTACCAAGGCTTTCTTTAAAAATTCTTGAAGAAGCTAACTAGCAGTAGACTCTTAATTTCTCAAGACTATTAACTAGTAATTGATGACAACCAAGGAAGGTAGTTTTCCTAATACCTACAAAACTTCAGCCTAATAACTTTTCACTTCCAGAGGCCTCACTTCCTGTATTACCTGAAAGTTACCTTTTCATTTGATTCCTAAGGACCAAGCAGAATTTTCCCTTCTTTGGTAGCAACATGCTTATTTTAGAAATATTATCCTGAAGCTTCTAAAAAGAATAGACTTATAAAAATGTATAATGAATAAATTCATAAAGATGCTGTTGCTGCTGCTGCCGCCGCCGATGATGATGATGATGATGATGATGATGATGATGATGATGATATTAATAAGAGCAGTGGCAGCTCACATCTACTGAGCACTTATCATGGGCCAGGACTTCTAAGTCCTTGACACAGAATACTTCATTTAATTCTCCACACCTACATGAAGCCAAAAACAGTATTATCCCCACTTCACAGATCAGGAAACTGAGACTCTAAGAGGGTGAATAAGTTGTCCGCAGTCCAACAGCTAGTAAAAGCCAAATCATGACTAAACCCATGTCTGATTCCAGAGTACCAATTCAACAAAAGATTTTCATTGAGAATAAAGAAAATGGACTGTGCCTGTGTGGAAACATTCCCCAAGAGGAAAGGAAGCACCATATCTGTGCCAAAAGATTACAAAGTTGTTAAGATGGCTACATCACCACCAAATCCAATTATTCATGAGCATTTATTTCTAAAAGCTATCAAGTATTTCTTTATTCCAAGATGTGGCTCAATGGTCCAGAGACATGTAGTTGTATGGCCAAAAATAAGAATTATCTACTGCTTAAGATAGTAATTTCTTCACTGATGTTCAACAATTATGGCAAAATTCCAAGCCAACCAGTTTTCATGCACCAGAGTTTAGTTGCCCCAAAGCAAATCCTAAGAAAAGAGGATTTTTTTATAACTCATATTTTTATTATCTAAAAGGGGTTTTCTCCAATATCCCTGTAAAATTCTTCTTTGCCCTCCAAATAAACATGAAAAATTCAGCCCCAGAAATAGATTTGTCAAGAAGTTAGGAAGAACTTAAAGTACATGGTAAATCAAAATGGCTTTTCAACTTTAACTAAAGTGGTCATAGTAATAATTGCTGCAATAAAAATGACAGAAAAAAACCCTAAAAGTATCAAAAATGTAATTTATGATGAAAACAAATGTAAAATTATAGCATATTTCACCCTGGCCACCAAAGACTCTTGATGAAACCGCAGCCCTATAATTGCCCAGAATGAATTCTTTAAATTAAAATACTTCATGCAGAACAGAAATTAAACAATGAATCAAAGAACAAAGCTGTACAGAGGTATGCTCATAAATATACCTAGCAAAGAGGAAACAATTACATTTTTCCATGTAAAAACCAACTTGATTGTAATGTTTCACAAGAGACCGAGTAGGTACTTTTCCCATTGCTTCAAGCTTGGAAGTTCATTTCCTGTAATTCATTTAGGGCTCAGAGTGACTGGGTGGAATGAAATTAGATACACCAAATTCAGTGGCTCTTTTCTTTCTACAAAACTGGCTCTTCCATGCAACTGCACAACTGACTTTCACAATAAATTTCATTCAACCCAATTGAAATGCCACTCTGCATTTTATTTTAAATGCTTTATTTGGCCAGCTAGTTTTATTTAACTATTGGCCAGAAGTGGTACAAGTGCATTCTTTTTCCATCTAGCATTAATCTTAGTAAACTTAGCTCCATTGGAATGTCTTAGCTGCTGAGAAGAAAGCAAAAGTCAGCAAGCATACAATTGCATTTGTCTACTCTCAACACATCATTTTATTTCCTCCTGCTCTCTGCTAACTATTGCTCAGCACTTTTGCCTAAGAGGGAGGACAAGCAGGTGGTTAAGGAAGTTGTCCTGTCAGCTATATCTTTAGTCCAAGTGTTTAAATCTCTGAATAAAAGAAAAATCAATGTTGTAAAGGCAATGTTTGTCAAGGCCATGTAATAAATACACTTACCTTTACAGACTGTTCTCAGTGGATTTCTCTTCTTTCCTGAGCTTCAAAGCTACAAAGACATAAAAATGAAAGACAGAGTTGTCTGTGAGTACAACAACAAACATTTTCTCCCCATGTCTCTAAATAGAATTTCCATATGCCATGGTATATGGTGCTAGCCAAATAAACCATTGATAAAACTTGTGCCTCATACCTCCCGCACAAGAGGCCAAAAAAAGACAGTCAGAAACTGAAAATGGTGCACACATCTACCCAGAATTGAAGCACACAAACCTTGGCCAAATCTACAGTCAAATCTTTTGGAGTGTGTACTCCTCAACAGAATGGGAACGGCTTATAGCGAGATGAAAATCAAATTAAACATGAGTGTGACATACTCAGTCTGACTAAGCATTTTATTTTCTTATTTCTTTTTGTCATCTTTCTTGCATGCTCTATTTCCATTTCTCTGAAAAAGTTTCACTTAGGGATGCCTATTCCATTTATATGACATGCATGGTCCTTCTAATATAAACCTCACCACTTGCTCCGTAAGTATATGTGTGCATGATTACAGGGACAATCACCCTTCCTGTATGTAGACTGCAGCCTTCTCTCGGAAGAAACTCACAAAACAGAGGAAGCCACAACTTGACATTTCAAATCAAATCTTGTTAACTTCAGCTCTCTGTGATCAAAACATAAATACTATGCACTGACCACACACAAATCAATGTGACAAAAGATCTGCAAAAGCAACAGTAATAACTTACAGTATCGTGAAGCTGGTTCTTTAATCATCCAATCTTACTCATAAGGTGCCTCTACAGTCACCAGTAATGGGAATATGATTCTTTCTCTCATTTTTGGCTAGGTCCTAACATCTCCGAAAGGTGCAGTAGTTGGGGATAGACAGCTACACCACAGCTTTTCCATGGTTCTTTTTTTTTCCTTCAATATCTGAAGGGATTGTTTTAGCTTTTACTGGGCTGTTTCCCTCCACATCCCTCTATTCCATCAAAGAATGCATTACCACTGATGCATGACCACCAAAGAACAGGTCAGACTTACGGGCTAAGATGTAAATTTCAGACTATTAATGCAGGAGGTAGGTCCCTTCTATGGGACAGCATCAGAAATTTCTCCTTCCCCCTGAGCTACACCGTTTACCAATGAGTTTAGAACAAGCAGAGTTTGGAGAATATTAGATAAAATAGTGTAATATTGCATTTGTGAAATCTAAGAGATGAATAATCTGATAACATGGAGATTGAGCTGAATCCCTTTCCACTTCAAACACAGAAATGCTAAACAAAATACAATAATGACTTAAAATACATATATGTGTGTGTATGTGTGTATATATATGTGTGTGTATGTATATACATATGTGCATATATATACACACACATGTACAAATATACATACACATGTGTATATATATACCTACATATATATACACGCACATAGATACACACACACACACACACACACACGCACATACACACACATATATAGCCAAGCCCAAAAGAAAGAGAAAAAGCCGTCTGGGAAGTGAGAAGCGCCTCTGCTCAGCCGCCAACCATCTGGGAAGTGAGGAGCCCCTCTGCCCGGCTGGCCAACTGACTGGGAGTGAGGAGCGCCTCTGCCCGGCCGCCCAACTATCTGGGAAGTGAGGGGCCCCTCTGCCTGGCCGCTGCCCTGTCCGGGAAGTGAGGAGCGCCTCTGCTCGGCAGCCGCCCTGTCTGGGAAGTGAGGAGTGCCTCTGCCCGGCTGCCCAACCATCTGGGAAGTGAGGAGCGCCTCTGCCCGGACGCTGTGCAACCTTCCAAGTGTGAAGTGACAGCCTTGTGTGTGATCTTTTCTGTTCTTCCCCAAGTTTGCATTTTTGACATTAAAGTTTACTTTTTCGTTAAAAAAAAAAAAAGAGAGAGAGAAAGCCAATATAAAAATATATGGATGTAGAGTTTCTAGAATGAAAGACATGAGTCCTCTGGAAAAAGTATAACAATATCTCAAAAAGATAAATAAAAGCAAATGCATACTTTCATATATCAGAATGAAACCACAGAACGCAGAGATAAAAATAAAATCTTAAAGTCAACCAGAGAGGGAAAAAAAAGAGACTTCTAGCAAAAGAACATGTCATTAGCAAAAATGAAAGTAAAGCAACAGTGCGGACACTGTGTCTCACGCCTGTAATCCCAGCACTTTGGGACACCAAGGCAGGCAGATAACCTGAAGTCAGGAGTTTGAGACCAGCCTGGCCAACGTGGTGAAACCTTGTCTCTACTAAAAATACAGGCCGGGCGCGGTGGCTCACTCCTGTAATCCCAGCACTTTGGGAGGCCGAGGCAGGCAGATCACGAGGTCAGGAGATCGAGACCATCCTGGCTAATATGGTGAAACCCCATCTCTACTAAAAATACAAAAAATTAGATGGGTGTGGTACCAGGCGCCTGTAGTCCCAGCTACTTGGGAGGCTGAGGCAGGAGAATGGTGTGAACCTGGGAGGCGGGGCTTGCAGTGAGCAGAGATCGCACCACTGCACTCCAGCCTGGGCAACAGAGCGAGACTCCGTCTCAAAAAAAAAAAAAAAAAAAATTAGCTGGGCGTGGTGGTGGGCACCTGTAATCCCAGCTACTCAGGAGGCTGAGGCAGGAGAATAGCTTGAACCCAGGAGGCAGAGGTTGCAGTGAGCTGAAATTGCACCATTGCACTCCAGCCTGGGCAACAAGAGAGAAACTTTTTCTCAAAAAAAAAAAAAGAAAAATTATATGCCCATGCTAAACCTAACATTCAAGAATGATAGAGAACAATAGATAAATCAGAACATTTTTCAAAAAAAAAATTGTTTAGTGCTCACAGTAGTTTACTTTTGCCAAAAGAAATACTAAAATAAGATATGCTTGAATAAGCGGGAATTTATCCCAGAAGGAAGCAGTGAGAAACAAGAAGCAATAGTAAACAGAGAAATTAGTAAGCATGATGGTAAATCTGGTAACTTTAATAATAAGTAATGGGTATTGATTAATAATTATTAAGCTCTACTTGTAAAAAAACAAAACAAAACAATTTTTAGCATTTGCCAATAAAGTGAAACTGAGTGGTTTATCACAATCATATGGAATAAAGAAGGGGGTAATAAATTGTTTACAAGGAGGAGAGAAATACTACTTAAGGCATTAAAGATATGCACTAAAACTACTGATTAACTTGTTAAGGATAACCAGCATTTCTTTCTCTGTCTATATAAGCAAAGAGGCCCTTACACATGTACTCACAGAGATTTGTACAATGTTTACATTCTACAAATGTATTGCCAGGATGGCAAAAAATACAGAAAACAACCCAAACATCTATCAGCAATACGATAAACACTTTTTTTACATATTCTTAGAATGGAGTATTATATAACTTTGGAAAATCAGTGAAAGTTACCCACATCAACATAGATACCTCTCAAAATATAATGTAAAACAAAAGAAGCAAGTCACAGAAAGCTATACATATTATTCTATTTGTATAACATTCAAAAAGGCAAAAATAAATACTGTGTTGTTTTTGAATATAAAGTATAAGTGGTACAAAACAAAATAAAGAAAGGGAAGAAATTTACACAGAATTCAGGCTATCTTTATCTTGAGAGTGGGAGAGGAGATGGAATACGTGAGAGGAATGGGGGGGCTTCTGGAATATGGTAATGATCTGTTTCTTGGCCTAGAAAGAGGTATCTGGACAATCAGTTTATTATTTTCTTTAAACTGTATATGTACACTTGCACAAATTATTTTGCATGTAGGCTCTATTTCCGAATTTTAAAACATACAAGAGTAACCACCAAAAGAACAGAAATTTCCAAATCAATAGAGGAAACAACATAGAGTAAACGCAATCGATTCTCTATACAACATTGAAATGGAAGGGAGAAAGAAGCAAAGGAAAACACGCTGAATAGAATATAAAAAAGAAAATATTTTAACTAAGTCCAGCTGTGTCAGGAATCAGGGTAAGTACATCTGTTAAAATTTTATCAAAACGAATGTTTTAAAATCTTGCTATGTGTTGTTTATAAGAAACAAATTTAAACATAAGTTTTGAAAAGAAAAGTGTGGATAAGTACACACCACGGAAATAGGAACCAAAAAAAAGCTGACGGAATAAGTTATTGTTAGGCATGACGAAAGTTAGCAATAATAGAAGAGAAAGTATTTATATTCTTTTTTTAAAATTTTATTATTATTATACTTTAAGTTTTAGGGTACATGTGCACAACGTGCAAGTTTGTTACATATGTATACATGTGCCATGTTGGTGTGCTGCACCCATTAACTCATCATCTAGCATTAGGTATATCTCCTAATGCCATCCCACCCACCCCCCGCCCCACAACAATCCCCAGTGTGTGATGTTCTCCTTCCTGTGTCCATGTGTTCTCATTGTTCAATTCCCACCTATGAGTGAGAACATGCGCTGTTTGGTGTTTTGTCCTTGTGATAGTTTGCAGAGAATGATGGTTTCCAGCTTCATCCATGTCCCTACAAAGGACATGAACTCATCATTTTTTATGGCTGCATAGTATTCCATGGTGTATATGTGCCACATTTTCTTAATCCAGTCTATCATTGTTGGACATTTGGGTCGGTTCCAAGTCTTTGCTATTGTGAATAGTGCCACAATAAACATACGTGTGCATGTGTCTTTATAGCAGCATGATTTATAATCCTTTTAGTATATACCCAGTAATGAGATGGCTGAGTCAAATGGTATATCTAGTTCTAGATCCCTGAGGAATCGCCACACTGACTTCCACAATGGTTGAACTAGTTTACAGTCCCACCAACAGGGTAAAAGTGTTCCTATTTCTCCACATCCTCTCCAGCACCTGTTGTTTCCTGACATTTTAATGATTGCCATTCTAACTGGTGTGAGATGGTATCTCATTGTGGTTTTGATTTGCATGTCTCTGATGGCCAGTGATGGTGAGCATTTTTTCATGTGTCTTTTGGCTGCGTAAATGTCTTCTTTTGAGAAGTGTCTGTTCTTATCCTTTTCCCACTTTTTGATGGGGTTGTTTTTGTCTTGTAAATTTATTTGAGTTCATTGTAGATTCGGGATATTAGCCCTTTGTCAGATGAGTAGATTGCAAAAATTTTCTCCCATTCTGTAGGTTGCCTGTTCACTCTGATGGTAGTTTCTTTTGCTGTGCAGAAGTGCTTTAGTTTAATTAGATCCCATTTGTCAATTTTGTCTTTTAATGCCATTGCTTTTGGTGTTTTAGACATGAAGTCCTTGCCCATGCCTATGTCCTGAATGGTATTGCCTAGGTTTTCTTCTAGGGTTTTTATGGTTTTAGGTCTAACATTTAAGTCTTTAATCCATCTTGAATTAACTTTTGTATAAGGTGTAAGGAAGGGATCCAGTTTCAGCTTTCTACATATGGCTGCCAGTTTTCCCAGCACCATTTATTAAATAGGGAATCCTTTCCCCATTGCTTGTTTTTCTCAGGTTTGTCAAAGATCAGATAGTTGTAGATATGTGGCATTATTTCTGAGGGCTCTGTTCTGTTCCATTGATCTATATCTCTGTTTTGGTACCAGTACCATGCTGTTTTGGTTACTGTAGCCTTGTAGTATAGTTTGAAGTCAGGTAGTGTGATGCCTCCAGCTCTGTTCTTTTGGCTTAGGATTGACTTGGTGATGCAGGCTCTTTTTTGGTTCCATATGAACTTTAAAGTAGTTTTTTCCAATTCTGTGAAGAAAGTCATTGGTAGCTTCATGGGGATGGCATTGAATCTATAAATTACCTTGGGCATTATGGCCATTTTGACAATATTGATTCTTCCTACCCATGGGCATGGAATGTTCTTCCATTTGTTTGTATCCTCTTTTATTTCATTGAGCAGTGGTTTGTAGTTCTCCTTGAAGAGGTCCTTCCCCTCCCTTGTAAGATGGATTCCTAGGTATTTTATTCTCTTTGAAGCAGTTGTGAATGGGAGTTCACTCATGATTTCACTCTCTGTTTGTCTGTTATTGGTGTAAAGGAATGCTTGTGATTTTTGCACATTGATTTTGTATCCTGAGACTTTCCTGAAGTTGCTTATCAGCTTAAGGAGATTTTGGGCTGAGACGATGGGGTTTTCTAGATATACAATCATGTCATCTGCAAACAGGGACAATTTGACTTCCTCTTTTCCTAATTCAATACCCTTTATTTTCTTCTCCTGCCTGATTGCCCTGGACAGAACTTCCAACACTATATTGAATAGGAGTGGTGAGAGAGGGCATCCCTGTCTTGTGCCAGTTTTCAAAGGGAATGCCTCTAGTTTTTGTCCATTCAGTATGATATTGGCTGTGGGTTTGTCATAGATAGCTCTTATTATTTTGAGATATGACCCATCAATACCTAATTTATTGAGAGTTTTTAGCATGAAGAGTTGTTGAATTTTGTCAAAGGCCTTTTCTGCATCTATTGAGATAATCATGTGGTTTTTGTCTTTGGTTCTGTTTATATGCTGGATTACGTTAATTGATTTGCATATGTTCAACCAGCCTTGCATCCCAGGGATGAAACCCACTTGATCATGGTGGATAAGCTTTTTGATGTGCTGCTGGATTCGGTTTGCCAGTATTTTATTGAGGGTTTCTGCATTGATGTTCATCAGGGATATTGATCTAAAATTCTCTTTTTTTGTTGTGTCTCTGCCCAGCTTTGGTATCAGGATGATGCTGGCCTCATAAAATGAGTTAGGGAGGATTTCCTCTTTTTCTATTGACTGGAATAGTTTCAGAAGAACTGGTACCAGCTCCTCCTTGTACCTCTGGTAGAATTCAGCTGTGAATCCATCTGGTCCTGGACTTTTTTTGGTTGGTAAGCTATTACTTATTGCCTCAATTTCAGAGCCTGTTATTGGTCTATTCAGAGATTCAACTTCTTTCTGGTTTAGTCTTGGGAGGGTGTATGTGTCTGGGAATTTATCAAATTCTTCTAGATTTTCTAGTTTATTTGCATAGAGGTGTTCCTAGTATTCTCTGATGGTAGTTTGTATTTCTGTGGGATCGGTGTTGATATCCCCTTTATCATTTTTATTGTGTCTATTTGATTCTTCTCTCTTTTCTTCTTCATTAGTCTTGCTAGAGGTCTATCAATTTTGTTGATCTTTTCAAAAAACCAGCTCCTGGATTCATTAATTTTTTGAAGGGTTTTTTGTGTCTCTATTTCCTTCAGTTCTGCTCTGATTTTCATTATTTCTTGCCTTCTGCTAGTGTTGAGTGTTGCTCTTGCTTCTCTAGTTCTTTTAATTGTGATGTTAGGGTGGCACTTTTAGATCTTTCCTGCTTTCTTTTGTGGGCATTTAGTGCTATAAATTTCCCTCTATACACTGCTTTGAATGGGTCCAAGAGATTCTGGTATGTTGTGTCTTTGTTCTCGTTGGTTTCAAAGAACATCTTTATTTCTGCCTTCATTTCGTTATGTACCCCATAGTCACTCAGGAGCAGGTTGTTCAGTTTCCATGTAATTGAGTGGTTTTGAGTGAGTTTCTTAATCCTGAGTTCTAGTTTGATTGCACTGTGGTCTGAGAGACAGTTTCTTCTAATTTCTGTTCTTTTACATTTGCTGAGGAGTGCTTTACTTCCAACTATGTGGTCAATTTCAGAATAGGTGTGGTGTGGTGCTGAAAAAAATGTATATTCTGTTGATATGGGGTGGAGAGTTCTCTAGATGTCTATTAGGTCCGCTTGGTGCAGAGCTGAGTTCAATTCCTGGATATCCTTGTTAACTTTCTGTCTTGTTGATCTGCTAATGTTGACAGTGGGGTATTAAAGTCTCCCATTATTATTGTGTGGGAGTCTAAGTCTCTTTGTAGGTCACTCAGGACTTGCTTTATGAATCTGGGTGCTCCTGTATTGGGTGCATATATATTTAGGATAGTTAGCTCTTCTCATTGAATTGATCCCTTTACCATTATGCAATGGCCTTCTTTGTCTCTTTTGATCTTTGTTGGTTTAAAGACTGTTTTATCAGTGACTAGGATTGCAAACCCTGCCTTTTTTTTTGTTTTCCATTTGCTTGGTAGATCTTCCTCCATCCCTTTATTTTGAGCCTATGTGTGTCTCTGTACATGACATGGGTTTCCTGAATACAGCACACTGATGGGTCTTGACTCTTTATCCAATTTGCCAATCTGTGTCTTTTAATTGGAGCATTTAGTCCATTTACATTTAAGGTTAATATTCTTATGTGTGAATCTGATCCTGTCATTATGATGTTAGCTGGTTATTTCGCTCATTAGTTGATGTGGTTTCTTCCTAGCCTTGATGGTCTTTAAAATTTGGCATGTTTTTGCAGTGGCTGGTACTGGTTGTTCCTTTCCATGTTTAGTGCTTCCTTCAGGGGCTCTTTTAGGGCTGGCCTGGTGGTGAGAAAATCTCTCAGCATTTGCTTGTCTGTAAAGGATTTTATTTCTCCTTCACTTATGAAGCTTAGTTTGGCTGGATATGAAATGCTGGGTTGAAAATTCTTTCCTTTAAGAATGTTGAATATTGGCCCCCACTCTCTTCTGGCTTGTAGAGTTTCTGCCGAGAGATCCGCTGTTAGTCTGATGGGCTTCCCTTTGTGGGTAACCCGACCTTTCTCTCTGGCTGCCCTTAAAATTTTTTACTTCATTTCAACTTTGGTGAATCTGACAATGAAGTGTCTTGGAGTTGCTCTTCTTGAGGAGTATCTTTCTGGCATTCTCTGTATTTCCTAAATCTGAATGTTGGCCTGCCTTGCTAGATTGGGGAAGTTCTCCTGAATGATATCCTGCAGAGTGTTTTCCAACTTGGTTCCATTCTCCCCGTCACTTTCAGGTACACCAATCAGACATAGATTTGGTCTTTTCACATAGTCCCATATTTCTTGGAGGCTTTGTTTGTTTCTTTTTATTATTTTTTTTCTAAACTTCTCTTCTCGCTTCATTTCATTCGTCTTCCATCATTGATACCCTTTCTTCCAGTTGATCGCATCGGCTACTGAGGCTTGTGCGTTCGTCACGTGGTTCTCGTGCCTTGGTTTTCAGCTCCATCAAGTCCTTTAAGGACTTCTGTGCATTGGTTATTCTAGTTAGCCATTCATCTAATTTTTTTTCAAGGTTTTTAACTTCTTTGCCATTGGTTCGAACTTCCTCCTTTAGCTCGGAGTAGTTTGATCATCTGAAGCCTTCTACTCTTGACTCATCAAAGTCATTCTCCATCCAGCTTTGTTCCATTGCTGGTGAGGAGCTGCGTTCCTTTGGAGGAGGAGAGGCACTCTGATTTTTAGAGTTTCCAGTTTTTCTGCTCTGTTTTTTCCCCATCTTTGTGGTTTTATCTACCTTTGGTCTTTGATGATGGTGACGTACAGATGGGTTTTTGGTGTGGATGTCCTTTCTGTTTGTTAGTTTTCCTTCTAACAGTCAGGATGCTCAGCTGCAGGTCTGTTGGAGTTTCCTGGGGGTCCACTCCAGACTCTGTGTGCCTGGGTATCAGCAGCCGTGGCTGCAGAACAGCGGATATTGATGAACCGCAAATGCTACTGCTTGATCGTTCAAGTTTTGTCTCAGAGGAGTACCCGGCCGTGTGAGGTGTTAGAACGCCCCTAGTGCGGGGTACCTCCCAGTTAGGCTACTCGGGGGTCAGGGACCCACTTGAGGAGGCAGTCTGCCCATTCTCAGATCTCAAGCTGCGTGCTGGGAGAACCACTACTCTCTTCAAAGCTGTCAGACAGGGACATTTAAGTCTGCAGAGGTTACTGCTGCCTTTTGTTTGTCTGTGCCCGGCCCCCAGAGGTGGAGCCTACAGAGGCAGACAGGCCTCCTTGAGCTGTGGTGGGATCCACCCAGAGCGAGCTTCCTGGTCTCTTTGTTTACCTACTCAAGCCTTGGCAATGGCAGGCGCCCCTCCCCCAGCCTCGCTGCCGCCTTGCAGTTTGATCTCAGACTGCTGTGCTAGCAATGAGTGAGGCTCCGTGGGCGTAGGGCCCTCCGAGCCATGTGCGGTATATAATCTCCTGGTGTGCCGTTTGTTAATCCTGCTGGAAAAGTGCAGTATTACGGTGGGAGTGACCTGATTTTCCAGGTGCCATCTGTCACCCCTCTCTTTTACTAGGAAAGGGAATTCACTGACCCCTTGCGCTTCCCGGATAAGGCAATGCCTCGCCCTGCTTCGGCTCACACACAGTGCGCTGCACCCACTGTCCTGCACCCACTGTATTGCACTCCCCAGTGAGATGAACCTGGTACCTCAGTTGGAAATGCAGAAATCACCCATCTTCTGTGTCGCTCACACTGGGAGCTGTAGACTGGAACTGTTCCTATTCGGTCATCTTGGCTCCATCCCCCGTTTTTTATTGACATATAACAAATTATCCAAAAACTAGATATTTAAAAATAAAAGTGGTGGCTGGCAGCCAAGATGGCCGAATAGAAACAGCTCCGGTCTACAGCTCCCAGCATGAGCAATGCAGAAGAAGGGTGATTTCTGCATTTCCATCTGAGGTACCAGGTTCATCTCACTAGGGAGTGCCAGACAGTGGGCGCAGGACAGTGGTTGCAGAGCACCGTGCACAAGCCGAAGCAGGGTGAGGCATTGCCTCACTCGGGAAGTGCAAGGGGTCAGAGATCTCCCTTTCCTAGTCAAAGAAAGGGGTGACAGACGGCACCTGGAAAATAGGGTCACTCCCACCCTAATACTGCACTTTTCCGATGGGCTTAAGAAACGGCGCACCAGAAGATTATATCCCACACCTGGCTCGAAGGGTCCTATGCCCACGGAGTCTCGCTGATTGCTAGCACAGCAGTCTGAGATCAAACTGCAAGGCAGCAGCGAGGCTGGGGGAGGGGCGCCCGCCATTGCCCAGGCTTGCTTAGGTAAACAAAGCTGCCAGGAAGCATGAACTGGGTAGAGCCCACCACATCTCAAGGAGGCCTGCCTGCCTCTGTGGGCTCCACCTCTGGGGGCAGGGCACAGACAAACAAAAAGACAGCAGTAACCTCTGCAGACTTCAATGTCCCTGTCTGACAGCTTTGAAGAGAGCAGTGGTTCTCCCAGCACGCAGCCAGAGATCTGAGAATGGGGAGACTGCCTCCTCAAGTAGGTCCCTGACCCCTGACCCCCGAGCAGCCTAACTGGGAGGCACCCCCAAGTAGGGGCTGACTGACACCTCACACGGCCGGGTACTCCTCTGAGACAAAACTTCCAGAGGAACGATCAGACAGCAGCATTCGCGGTTCACGAAAATCCGCTGTTCTGCAGCCACTGCTGCTGATACCCAGGCAAACAGAGTCTGGAGTGGACCTCTAGCAAACTCCAACAGTCCTGCAGCTGAGGGTCCTGTCTCGTAGAAGGAAAACTAACAAACAGAAAGGACATCCACACCAAAAATCTGTACATAACCATCATGAAAGACCAAAAGTAGATAAAACCACAAAGATGGGAAAAAACAGAGCAGAAAAACTGGAAACTCTAAAAAGCAGAGCGCTTCTCCTCCTCCAAAGGAACGCAGTTCCTCACCAGCAACGGAATAAAGCTGGATGGAAAATGACTTTGACAAGTTGAGAGAAGAAGGCTTCAGACGATCAAACTACTCCGAGCTAAAGGAGGAAATTCAAACCAAAGACAAAGAAGTTAAAAACTTTGAAAAAAATTTAGACGATTGTATAACTAGAATAACCAATACAGAGAAGTGCTTAAAGGAGCTGATGGAGCTGAAAGCCAAGGCACGAGAACTACGTGAAGAATGCAGAAGCCTCAGGAGCCGATGCGATCAACTGGAAGAAAGGGTATCAATGATGGAAGATGAAATGAATGAAATGAAGCAAGAAGAGAAGTTTAGAGAAAAAATAATAAAAAGAAACAAACAAAGCCTCCAAGAAATATGGGACTATGTGAAAACACCAAATCTACGTCTGATTGGTGTACCTGAAAGTGATGGGGAGAATGGAACCAAGTTGGAAAACACTCTGCAGGATATTATCCAGGAGAACTTCCCCAATCTAGCAAGGCAGGCCAACATTCAGCTTCAGGAAATACAGAGAACGCCACAAAGATACTCCTCGAGAAGGGCAACTCCAAGACACATAATTGTCAGATTCACCAAAGTTGAAATGAAGGAAAAAATGTTAAGGGCAGCCAGACAGAAAGGTCGGGTTACCCACAAAGGGAAGCCTATCAGACTAACAGCGGATATCTCGGCAGAAATTCTACAAGCCAGAAGAGAGTGGAGGAGGCCCATATTCAACATTCTTAAAGGAAAGAATTTTCAACCCAGCATTTCATATCCAGCCAAACTAAGCTTCATAAGTGAAGGAGAAATAAAATCCTTTACAGACAAGCAAATGCTGAGAGATTTTCTCACCACCAGGCCTGCCCTAAAAGAGCTCCTGAAGGAAGCACTAAACATGGAAAGGAACAACCAGTACCAGCCACTGCAAAATCATGCCAAATTGTAAAGACCATCAAGGCTAGGAAGAAACTGCATCAACTAACGAGCAAAATAACCAGCTAACATCATAATGACAGGATCAAATTCACACATAACAATATTAACTTTAAATGTAAATGGACTAAATGTTCCAATTAAAAGACACAGACTGGCAAATTGGATAAAGAGTCAAGACCCATCAGTGTGCTGTATTCAGGAAACCCATCTCACATGCAGAGACAAACATAGGCTCAAAATAAAGGGATGGAGGAAGATCTACCCAGCAAATGGAAAACAAAAAAAGGCAGGGGTTGCAGTCCTACTCTCTGATAAAACAGTCTTTAAACCAACAAAGATCAAAAGAGAGAAAGAAGGCCATTACGTAATGGTAAAGGGATCAATTCAACAAGTAGAGCTAACTATCCTAAATATATATGCATCCAATACAGGAGCACCCAGATTCATAAAGCAAGTCCTGAGTGACCTACAAAGAGACTTAGACTCCCACACAATAAGAATGGGAGACTTTAACAACCCACTGTCAACATTAGACAGATCAACAAGACAGAAAGTTAACAAGGATATCCAGGTATTGAACTCAGCTCTGCACCAAGCAGACCTAATAGACATCTACAGAACTCTGCATCCCAAAACAACAGAACATACATTTTTTTCAGCACCACACCACACCTATTCCAAAATTGACCACATAGTTGGAAGTAAAGCTCTCCTGAGCAAATGTAAAAGAACAGAAATTATAACAAATTGTCTCTCAGACCACAGTGCAATCAAACTAGAACTCAGGATTAAGAATCTCACTCAAAACCGCTCAATTACATGGAAACTGAACAACCTGCTCCTGAATGACTACTGGGTACATAACGAAATGAAGGCAGAAATAAAGATGTTCTTTGAAACCAACGAGAACAAAGACACAACATACCAGAATCTCTGGGACCCATTCAAAGCAGTGTATAGAGGGAAATTTATAGCACTAAATGCCCACAAAAGAAAGCAGGAAAGATCCAAAATTGACACCCTAACATCACAATTACAAGAACTAGAAAAGCAAGAGCAAACGCATTCAAAAGCTAGCAAAAGGCAAGAAATAACTAAAATCAGAGCAGAACTGAAGGAAATAGAGACACAAAAAACCCTTCAAAAAATTAATGAATCCAGGAGCTGGTTTTTTGAAAGGATCAACAAAATTGACAGACAGCTAGCAAGACTAATAAAGAAGAAAAGAGAGAAGAATCAAATAGACGCAGTAAAAAATGATAAAGGGGATATCACCACCAATCCCATAGAAATACAAACTACCATCAGAGAATACTACAAACACCTCTGCACAAATAAACTAGAAAATCTAGAAGAAATGGATAAATTCCTCGACACATACACCCTCCCAAGACTAAAGCAGGAAGAAGTTGGATCTCTGAATAGACCAATGACAGGCTCTGAAATTGTGGCAATAATCAATAGCTTACCAACCAAAAAGAGTCCAGGACCAGATGGATTCACAGCCGAATTCTACCAGAGGTACAAGGAGGAACTGGTACCATTCCTTCTGAAACTATTCCAATCAATAGAAAAAGAGGGAATCCTCCCTAACTCATTTTATGAGGCCAGCATCATCCTGATACCAAAGCCTGGCAGAGACACAACCAAAAGAGAGAATTTTAGACCAATATCCTTGATGAACATTGATGCAAATATCCTCAATAAAATACTGGCAAACCGAATCCAGCAGCACATCACAAAGCTTATCCACCATGATCAAGTGGGCTTCATCCCTGGGATGCAAGGCTGGTCCAATGTATGCAAATCAGTAAATGTAATCCAGCATATAAACAGAGCCAAAGACAAAAACCACATGATTACCTCAATAGATGCAGAAAAGGCCTTTGACAAAATTCAACAACTCTTCATGCTAAAAACTCTCAATGAATTAGGTATTGATGGGACATATCTCAAAATAATAAGAGCTATCTATGACAAACCCACAGCCAATATCATACTGAATGGGCAAAAACTGGAAGCATTCCCTTTGAAAACTGGCACAAGACAGGGATGCCCTCTCTCACCACTCCTATTCAACATAGTGTTGGAAGTTCTGGCCAGGGCAATCAGGCAGGAGAAGGAAATAAAGGGCATTCAATTAGGAAAAGAGGAAGTGGACAAATTGTCCCTGTTTGCAGATGACATGATTGTATATCTAGAAAACCCCATCACCTCAGCCCAAAATCTCCTTAAGCTGATAAGCAGCTTCAGCAAAGTCTCAGGATACAAAATCAATGTACAAAAATCACAAGCATTCTTATACACCAATAACAGACAAACAGAAAGCCTCATCATGAGTGAACTCCCATTCACAATTGCTCCTAGGAATCCAACTTACAAGGGACATGAAGGACCTCTTCAAGGAGAACTACAAACCACTGCTCAATGAAATAAAAGACGATACAAACAAATGGAAGAACATTCTATGCTCATGGGTAGGAAGAATCAATATCATGAAAATGGCCATACTGCCCAAGGTAATTTATAGATTCAATGCCATCCCCATCAAGCTACCAATGACTTTCTTCACAGAATTGGAATAAACTACTTTAAAGTTCATATGGAACCAAAAAAGAGCCCGCATCACCAAGTCAATCCTAAGCCAAAAGAATAAAGCTGGAGGCATCACTCTACCTGACTTCAAACTATACTACAAGGCTACAGTAACCAAAACAGCATGGTACTGGTAGCAAAACAGAGATATAGATCAATGGAACAGTACAGAGCCCTCAGAAATAATGCCGCATATCTGCAACTATGTGATCTTTGACAAACCTGACAAAAACAAGCAATGGGGAAAGGATTCCCTATTTAATAAATGGTGCTGGGAAAACTAGCTAGCCATATGTAGAAAGCTGAAACTGGATCCCTTCCTTACATCTTATACAAATTAATTCAAGATGCATTAAAGACTTAAACATTAGACCTAAAACCATAAAAACCCTAGAAGAAAACCTAGGCATTACCATTCAGGACATAGGCATGGGCAAGGACTTCATGTCTAAAACACCAAAAGCAATGGCAACAAAAGCCAAAATTGACAAATGGGATCTAATTAAACTCAAGAGCTTCTGCACAGCAAAAGAAACTACCATCAGAGTGAACAGGCAACCTACAGAATCGGAGAAAATGTTTGCAACCTACTCATTTGACAAAGGGCTAATATCCCGAATCTACAATGAACTCAAATAAATTTACAAGACAAAAACAAACAACCCCATCAACAAGTGGGCGAAGGACATGAAGAGACACTTCTCAAAAGAAGACATTTATGCAGCCAAAAAACACATGAAAAAATGCTCACCATCACTGGCCATGAGAGAAATGCAAATCAAAACCACAATGAGATACCATGTTACACCAGTTAGAATGGCAATCATTAAAAAGTCAGGAAACAACAGGTGCTGGAAAGGTTGTGGAGAAATAGGAACACTTTTACACTGTTGGTGGGACTGTAAACTAGTTCAACCATTGTGGAAGTCAGTGTGGCGATTCCTCAGGGATCTAGAACTAGAAATACCATTTGACCCAGCCATGCCATTACTGCGTATATACCCAAAGGACTATAAATCATGCTGCTATAAAGACACATGCACACGTATGTTTATTGCAGCACTATTCACAATAGCAAAGACTTGGAACCGACCCAAATGTCCAACAATGACAGACTGGATTAAGAAAATGTGGCACATATATACCATGGAATACTATGCATCCATAAAAAATGATGAGTTCATGTCCTTTGTAGGGACATGGATGAAATTGGAAATCATCATTCTCAGTAAACTATCGCAAGGACAAAAAACCAAACACCGCATGTTCTCACTCATAGGTGGGAA
This sequence comes from Homo sapiens, assembly GCF_000001405.40. NCBI lineage: Eukaryota > Metazoa > Chordata > Mammalia > Primates > Hominidae > Homo > Homo sapiens. The sequence goes on from NC_000003.12 coordinate 61,216,936, forward strand.
TTGAGCAATGAGAACACATGGACACAGGAAGGGGAATATCACACTCTGGGGACTGTTGTGGGGTAGGGGGAGGGGGGAGGGATAGCATTAGGAGATATGCCTAATGCTAAATGATGAGTTAATGAGTGCAGCACACCAGCATGGCAGATGTATAAATATGTGACTAACCTGCACGTTGTGCACATGTACCCTAAAACTTAAAGTATAATAATAATAAAATAAAAAAATAAAAATAAAAGTAAGAATTTATTATCTCTCACGGTTTCTACGGATCAAGAATCCTGGCAGGGTTCAGCAGGATGGCTTTTCTGTATGCTACAAAGCCTGAGGCTTCCGCTAGCAGACTTGAAAGTTAGGGGCTGGAATCATCTGATATCTCATGCCCTCAAATATCTAAGCTAGGGGCTGGGATCATCTGAAGACTCATGCCCTCACATATCTGCCAGTTGTTGCTCAGGGTTAGCTGAGACCACAGCTAGAGCTAGCAGCTGGAATATGTCCATGTGGCCTCTCCATGTGGCTTGAGTCTCCTCACAACATGGTGGCTGAGTTCCAAAGACGAGTTCTGAGAGAAGCTGTATTTTTTATGACCTAGGCTCAGAAATCACATAACACCATTTACACTGCACTCCACTGGTCAGGTCAGTCACAAACCCCCACCCAGACTAAAAGAAAGAGAACAACAGCCTTGCCGCCCTCAATGAGGGAGTGTCTGTTACACTGTAAGAAGAGCACAGGATTGGATAAATGTGCTGATGTGATCACCTTTGGAAAATACAATCTGCCACAACATTCTTTACAAGCACATATGAAACATAAGCAAAAATTAAACATATAGTAGGCCTGAAAGTAGTTTCAATGAATATCAAACAATAGATATCAAAGGTTTCTTATTATAATGCATTAAAGTTGGAAAAGAATTACTAAATATGATTTTTAAAATATGTTTGAAAATTACAATTTTATGACAGTTTCCCTTTGTGAATTGGGATTAGACAAGGACCTTAACTAAATCCCACTGGATGAAGGTCCACATCTGGAGTCAAAAGAGATCACTAATTTGGTTGTGGATACATTGAATTTGAAGTGCCTTAGAGACATCTAAAGGAAAATATCCAGGTAAGCAGTTGGGTAGATGGGACTGTAGCTAAGAGGGGAGGTCTGAGAGTGGTAAGTTATCTGTAAGTAGGAAGTAACTGCAGTTGTGAATATGGATGTGACTGTCCAGGGAGTCAGTATAAGTAGAAAGACAAAAGGGCCTAGGACTGATCCGTGAGCAAGTTCAACATCTAACAGTTGTGTTGAGGAGGATGAATCCTACATAAGAGAGAGAACAGTTGCCAGAGAAGTAAAACTAAATCCTCAAGATTCACAGAAAGGTCAAGCAATATAAATACTAAAAAAAGCCCAATAGGAAGGTCATCGAGGAACTCAGCAGGAACTGTTTTGTGGACTGATGGAGGCAGAATTCAGTTTGGAGTTGGTTAAGACAGAAGTGGAAGTCATTAAACAAAGACAATGAGTAAAGACAATCCTAGATAAGCTTGGCTGTGACTGGGGAGGAAAGAGTGGCAACTAAAGGACAAAGGGCTGGAAGACGGTTTGTTTGTATAGTTTTTAAACAGAAAAAAGGCCGAGTATGTATCAAGGTAATGGAGAAGATCTATTTAAGATGCAGAGTGAGTGTAGAAGAGAAAGGGTAACCAGTACTGAAGGTTCCTGAGAAGGTTGAAAGGGACAGGTGGTAGGACTGGTTTTAAACTGAGCTTTGGCCTCACCGTAATCATATAGTGTCTTATGATAGGAACCCATGCTATTGTCTTAATGCACTACTTTATCGTGTGTTTATGTTTTCTCACCCTAATTAGAATCTAAGCTCTATAAAATGTATGGCCTTTATTGTTCAAACCAACCCCACCTTACTCACACATTGAAAACCCCAGATTCTATCCCAGCACCCAACAGTCATTCAATAAACACTCATGTGTCACTTAGTAATGGGAGTATATTCTGAGAAATGCACCCATAGGTGATTTTGTCATTGTGCAAACATCACTGCATGTACTTACACAAACCTAGAAAGTGTAGCCCACTATACACTTATCCTATATGGTATAGCCTATTGCTCCTAGGTTACAGACCTGTAAAGCATGTTACTGTCCTAAATGCTGTAAGTAATTATAACACGATGATAAGTATTTGTGTATCTAAACATCTAAACATATAAAAGGTATGGTAAAAATATAGTATTATAATATTATGGAACCATGGTCCTATTTGCAGTCCATCATTGACTGAAATGACATTATGTGGCACACAACCATACTTGTTGAATAAACTAATACAAGCAGATTCTATCATCTTTGTGTACATCTTTGTGTAAATCTAAAAATGTGTGTGTGTGTGTGTGTGTGTGTGTGTGTGTGTGTTTGTGTGTGTCCTGGCTATCCAAAATGCGAGCAAGTCAGAACCCAAAAGTTCTTGTTCCAGAGTATAGATATCTAGACAATAGTCAGGAATAGCCACTCAAATTAGCCCTCTCTTTCCCATGTTTTCCTTGACCTAAAAATCCAAGGATCTAAACTACAGGCCATGAAAACATTTTCACCTACAGTTACAATATTATACCACTTCCCACTTTCCTCATGCCTAATTCGTCCATATTTTGTTCTAGAGCAGACAAACTCTGTATCCTTCATTTGACCTCCTGCAAGACATAAATTAAATTTAAATGAATCCAAATACTTTGGGCTTCAGTTCTCCTAAAAGAAATAAACATGGAAGTAGAGCAGTACAGGCCAGTAACACACTGATTTATCTTGCTGATTTTTCAGAGGATAGCCCTCCAAAAAATCTTTACAAACCTCAAGCCTCTCAATCCATGGATCCAAACCCCAGCTCCCTTAAAAATAGGTCTGAATTTAAACAAATATCTTTCCGAAATATAGAAACCTGCTTTGATGGTGACTCATCTTATCCCAGTAGAAACCTTTCTCTGGGTACCATCCAACTGCACCATTCTTAAGGCAACATTACCTGGAACTGAGGGATTTGCCTCTATTGTTGCATTCTGCAGCCCTCACCTGACTTAACTGCCACGTTAAGGAATTGGTTATTGACCTTTAAGTCTTTAACAATTATTTACATACCTAGGAAAGAGTCTGTGCATTCAGGTACAAGAATGAAGACACCGAATAAATTCAGCCCTCGTTTTCATTTTTATGCTACGTTCAGTGAGCTGTTACTGCAGACAAATTATTGCAGCATTCTTTCAAATGATAGCCAATTTTCAACTAAGAGAAGATTCTTAAACCCCTTTCTAAAACCTTTTCCTGCATATCGGTGAAAACCAGGCAGTTGGAAAACACAGCCCTGGTTAAACCACATAATAATAAATTAATACTTTAAACACATGGAATTATTTAAGAATCTGCATAATAATTTAAACCCTCATAAGACATAGCAGCAAAGGCCCCAAAAACCTAACACTTCTCAGATATATTCCTAGAAGTTTTATTTCAATTTATATGTATGCATTTCTTACAGAATATTTTCAGAATTTCTGAAACTCAGATACATTTAGAGTCCAGGGAGGTGACCAGAATAATTCTTACTTTTGTTATTTACCTGGGGAGCTAATCAATATTGTTAAAATGTAGGTGAAAGTCTTTCTATTTGACCATAAGTTCAGCAATAATACGGACCACATCTGTCTTGTTCTATATTAAATCTACATCTTCTAGAACACTGTCTGGCACATATACTCCGTAAAATTTCTTTAATAAAAGAATATTATAAGTTTTCACTATTACTAGGAATGAAAATTGATTGCAAATTATTAAGGAAAGGTTAGTTTTGAGTTTTGTTCTTGGTTTTCATTCATTCTCTTAATTTGTACCCCATGCTTTCACAAAACAATAAGTTATCTCTCTACTGAAGCCTACCCTTCTATGGCCTGAGACACATACACACAACACGACATGCCCTTGCCACATCTATTCAATGCTGTCATATTTGCCATGCATCAGAAAAATAAATTTACCAAGTAGCAGAAGCTCTGGAAAATCATTAGGTGACATCTGAGGAGCAGAATACCAATCAGCCAATAATTAGCATCTGAAAATTCATAGAGTCACAGACAAATCAAATTCCATGAAATCTCAGGGAGCTTGGCTCCCTGACCCTGGCTGGGTTGGTGCCCAGGCAATGGGTAAGCAGTAAATTGTGCCACCCCAACAGGACTGGAAGGTGCCATGGCTAGTCTAACCCCAGGGGGAGACATTCTGACAATGTGGCATTTGCACAGGGATGCCCTAACATGGCCCCAGTATGTTTTCTCAGAACGGGATGACATTTTAAGTCAAATAGCTCTGTTCCCAATAGCACAGGTCCTCTCCCAAACTCTAATAGCCTGAATTTGAGAAAAAGAGGTTCATCTTGGGGAGAAACTGATGTTTTGCAGATGCAATATTAAAACAATCCATTTATAAGGAAGGCAAAACCAGATATTCAGTGTTTAACTTCATTTATTACCTTTCCATCATTACATAGACCTCAGATAGCCTTAGACTTAAAAAGTCATTCACATTTAAGCAAAACTCTGTTCCTGGAGCATCTACACTGGATACTTTTCAATGAATGCTGAAACTGGTTATAAAGTTGTGCTACCAAGAGGCATGAAGAGTGACTGTCAGTACCTTACCAAACCCCTGCTGACTGGAACATGCAAGTCAGTCCAAGGATGCAGGGCCACCACTGTTACTGCTGCCTCCAGCCTAACTAAGGTCACCTTTCCTGCATGCCTGCCTCATTCTAAAGGAAGAAAACAGAGAGGTTGGAGAATACCAGCTCCCCATTTGGTTTCTACAGTTGCCAACTCTACCCACATGTGACTTGGGGAAAGCACCCTTAAGAAGAGTGGGGTCCAACGTCCAACCAGACTGACCCAGCCTTGGGGGTAAACATTCCACCTCCACCACGTGGCCTGTGTGCACCTGATTTGAATCTGCTCCTACCCTGAGCCAAGGGTGACCATTCTGCCAGGTCCCCACTCCACTGCAGGGTCAGGCAGCAGCCTCTGCTCCTGGCTCCTGGCCCAGTGCTCGGATGGCCCAGCAACGTCACTGCGGAGAGGGAGTCTGGTTGTGCCCTCCTCTGAACTCTCCATCTGGAAGACTCTCTAGTCT